>NC_000016.10:60926136-61229166 GCF_000001405.40 Homo sapiens | reverse complement strand
TACTGATTATGTCTTCGTTACCAGCTATGTGGCTCTGGACAGGTTACTTAACCCCTCCAGGACATCAATTTGTTTATTTTAATAATGAAGAGAATAATATACCTTAGGTAAATGCCTATACTAGATAATAATAAAGTTTGCTGTTAGTAGAAAATTCCATAGACCTGAATGTGATTGCCATTATCACTTAATTTTATAATGTTACCCCTTCCCAATCTTAAAAATAATCACTAATATCACCAACAACAGTCTCATGAAACCTACAAAGACAATCTTTTGTGGAGTTTGAAGTTTCAAAAAATATGTTTCAATATACAAATTTTATTATTAAAATTAAAGTATATTACATATTTGTATATTATCCCCATATGCCCCCTGAAGCCTACTATATATGGTCCTAGACTCTCAAATATAGTTAAATTATGTGTGGCTGGAAACTTTGACAACATTTTTGGAAAAGACCTAAAGTAATATTTTCCCATCTTTTGTCAGTAGCAGTTGAAAATAGATTTCAATAAAACAAGTTAAAACCACATAATGCTCCAAAATATCCCCGGAACAAACCAGTCAAGAAATACACCCATTTATGCTGACTTCATCAGTTTGAATTTCTGTTGAATTATCTCCAAGTTGGGCTCATTGTTAATTTTGAATTTTGCAGAATGTTCATTAACTTCATAGCTGGCTGTAACTGTGAGTTTGCACTACATAAATTTGGACAAGAAAAGAAATCTAACTAATATTTGCCAAATTCATAAAATGTTAATGAAAGTAAATAAAAAACCTTATTTTTGCTTGCTAAGTATTTTACGTCTTGTTCTCATGGTTTCTTCATATGAAAATCATTGATCCGATCATTAGTAGATATTTCCCTTAGGTTAGGATAAATTATAGGGCGATTCAGATAACCATAAATTTGAAATAATCATTTCTTACTGAAATGTCAATTTTCCTTAAAGAGATGTGTATGCACACTTTAATTTGAGAATCCAAAATCAATGTCATTCATAATTAAATTCATGGCATACCACACCTTGGAAATTATCTCCTTTTCTATTCAGCAACATTTCCTTATCATCATAGGTCAGTGGTTTTACACATAAATTATTTATTTAGCCCAAGAAATCAGATGAGACCATTTACCCACCCCATTTATTTTTTGCCTCCTTATACAAGCTTCTTATAAGACTCCCACAAGCCTGCAGAGTAGTAGAGTTCAGAGAAACCCTACATAGTTAGCTTTTAGTTCCTCAGTAACCGTATCTACCAAGAACTCAACTTCAAATCAGGAAGAAATTTTTTTTTTTTTAAAGCAACATGTCAAAGTGTGTGTCACAGAGCCCTTGTCATAAAACAGGACCCGCAGTCAGCACGTATTGATGGGGACTTATTTTATCTGTTGATTTATTTTAATTTTGCAATGCTATTACCTGGCATAAACTCATTTTTAAGTACATCAATGAGACCCTCTATAAGAAGAATAAAATAAATAGCCTTTGTTGTCTCTGCCTCACCAACTAAGTTAAATGCCACTAGTTTGTGCTCTCTTAACATCGTCTGTTGGCCTTTTAATAATATTTATTACATCATGTTATAACTTTTTTGTTTTGTTTGATCCATGAGCTCCTTTGACATATGACTGATATTTCTTTCTGGCTTAATGTTTATGGAGGAGATCACCAAATTCTACCTACTTTAAAGTCTAAGACAGTCTTTATCAGTGCATTTCCATATAGCAGTTCTTAGGGTTCTCATGGTGGTTCAGTGTTATTCACAAGTAGACAAAATTAATGTTAAAAGTGTAAAAAAGGCTTTGGCTGCTAATATGGCTTACCTGTATTTGCATATGAAATTTGTAGGAAAGTATTTTCTTTCATGAAATACTTCACTATTTTTCTGTTTAAAATTATTTCTATTTACCTATCTGTTTCAAAGAAAAAAAAGTAGCAAGAAACCACATTTTACTGTATTAAACTGTATTAACAGTTTACTGTATTAAACTATTATTAATACTAATGACATTAATAATACCCACACCAGTAATTATAATCATGTTATGTCTTATACTTTCTCCTATATGTCCTACCATTTATAAAACTCTTCCAGAAACATGAACTTATTTCTTTTTCATAACATTTCCATGAGGTAGCCATCATTGTTTACATTCGCTGAATAAATAACAAGGATTAGAAAGATTAACAGATTGCCCAAGTAATAAGTGATGGGGCTAACATTTCTATATTTCAAATAAAACATATAGGTTGCACTTAAATAGGCTCGGCCTCTGATTCACTCCATTGTGTATTAGTGGCAGTTTCTTAATTATTTTTTATTTATTTATTTTCTTTTTTTGAAACAGAGCTTCACTCTTGTTGCCCAAGCTATAGTGCAATGGCACGATCTCGGCTCACCACAACCTCTGCCTCAAGGGTTCCAGCGATTCTCCTGCCTCAGCCTCCCGAGTAGCTGGGATTACAGGCATGCACCACCATGCCTGGCTAATTTTGTGTTTTTAGCAGAGATGGGGTTTCTCCATCTGGATGAGGCTGGTCTCAAACTCCTGACCTCAGGTGATCCACCTGCCTTGGCCTCCCAAAGTGCCGGGATTACAGGTGTGAGCCACCATGCCTGGCCTCTCAATTACTTTTACTGGACAATCACAAAGCCTAGATTTTTCACATCAAATGTATTTTGTTGTTAGTGTAAAGATATAAGAAAGATATAAAATTTAGATTCTTAATTCATCATACCATGCTGCTGGGGTTAGAAGAAAAACAAATTTCTAAATGTTTTGAACTAGTTTCAAAGAATTAATGCTTTGACAAACCCTTTGTGCTCCAAATACCCACTAATAACAATTAAAAATGGAAACAAAAGCACGAATGTTTGGTTTATCATGAAAGCAACCTAAAAGTCGTGTGTGTGTGTGTGTGTGTGTGCATGTGTGCAGAAACACCCAGAAATGGGAAACAATGGATAGGGCTGAAGCTCTGGGTCTCTAGTCACTGGATTCAGAAGAAGGCAGTGGCCATTGGGAATTGAGTTTCTCTCGAGGAAAAGAGAATTAAAATTATTCCTTAATCAGGGTTTAAAACTCTGGCTTGCCGATAGAAGAAAATATAATGTAGGCAGAGGCTATTTTTGACATGTAAGTTTGTCATGTAGTTTGACAGAGGTTTTATGAGTCAAAAGGGAAAATCTAAAGCTCTGTGACTATCCCTGACTAAGAGATGAATCTGGGTTGTCCCTAATTATTACTGGAAGTCATAAATGCCACTATAAAAATCTAATGCTTTATAGGAGCCATCATAGCTGGGTAGAGACACTAAAACATGATGGACATACAGGAGTTGAGAAGAAAAAAGAGGGAAAGAAGAAAGAAAACAACATTCTTCTCACAGTGGGTGAATAAACAAATGGAGAATTTCAAAGAGTAAAAAAGTGTGTACTGAGACAGCCAATGAAATCAGCAATCTGAACATGAATACATTCCAGGTAAAGTTAAACTTAGATTAAACCCCTCATCAATATTTTAAACTATGAGAATTTACAATGATTAAAATGATTCATGAAATACTTCCATTTAAAAATAGAATAAAATTATAAAATAAAACGTGGCAGAATAAAACAAGAAAATGTGAAAATAAAAAATAATAAACATCTTAAAATACATATCATGGAAATAAAAACAAATCACCATTGTAAGATAAAAAATACTAAATAGGTTATATGAATTCTAGTGTGGGGGAATACCAAAAAAGAAAATTACTAAATTTAAATGAATTGGTATAGAACTTAGAATACAGCACAGTTAAATAAAGAAACAGCAAAAATACAAGAAACCAAAGAAGAGATAGATAATAGTTTGGGAGATTAAATATATAATTTAATAGCAAATGTAGAGGGAAGAATCGAGACAATGCAGGAGAAAAAGTATTTGAAATAATAATTGCTGAAGGATTTCAGAAATTAAGAATAAAAATGAGTGCTGACTTCAGGCTCTCAGAATACAAAAGGACAGGAAGAAATGAATCCAAATGGCAGGTGCGGGATTAAAAAAAAAAAAGCTTCAGGGAAATTGACAGGCTACGTTGACAACTTTAACTAACAATTGTCCTGTTCTCATGGTCCTTATGGAGGGAGTTTTGAGGTTGACCCTCTATGCTAATGACTGAGCAGAGGTAAGTTTAATTGAAAGATAAGGTATTTGCAACCCGTATGGCCATACAGCTAAGTTACATTGCTCACATGGCTTTATCCATGATACAGTCACTATCTATATCTACATATTTTCACTCCAGCATTTATATTTCAAGTGTTTTCAGACCCAAAAAGGGAGGAGAAAAACAAGGATTATTGACCCTTTAATATTTTTAAAATACTTATATTTAAGTAATAACAATAATAGTGTTAATAATGATGTACTGCTCCCCCCAAAAATCTATAGTTTTCAAATCAGCAGCAATAGCACAGAAAGAAAGAGAAAGAGAGATTATGGAATACAATACAGATCTAACAGAAGACAGTAAGATAGTAGAGAAATTTCAATAGCGTATATCAAGCACAAAATATACAATTATTAAAAATCCACCAAAAGACAAAATACATCATCCTGTGATTATTATAAAAAAAGATAAAACAAAATGACAGAACCATATAAAATACTTGAATGTAAATGGAGAGAAAAGATTTAGTTTGCTAATATAACCAAAAAAGTTACCATAGACATATTAATAAAATCAAAATAAAACATAAGAAAAAACTTTAACAAGAATAAAATAGACAGCATACATTAATAAAATAAACCTAGAAGACACAGCTGTCTCTAATATAGATGTACATTACATCATAGCAAAACTTGGTAGAATTACAGAGAAAAAAACCAACAAGGTGTGATATTTTTATACTGTTTTATCATAAATTGATAGCAAATGCTGCAAAGTATAAGAAACATATAGAAAATCTATTATAAAATGGACAATTGTAGATATATATGGAGGAATGTAGAGCTCTTTTCCAATATATGAAGCATTAAAAATATGAGCACAAAAATATAAAAAATTAAAATATATATTTTGCTAATTTGAAATTACATTAGAATTCAACATAAAAAGATAATTAAATTCACACAAATGTTGATTTTGAAACTTTCAAAATTAATTCTTGGATGATTCATGGGTTAAAGAAATTACATAGGAAATATTTGAAATTTAAAAAGAGAAACAGTACATGGCATATAACAAAATGTGTGAAACACAGCTAAAGCGGTACTTGCATATAAATTTGCACCTGCAAATGGGTGTATTAAAATTTTAAAAAGCACACAAAATGAATTTTGATGTTCAAACTAAAACTTTAGTTTTAGTTTAAAGTGTTTGTTAAATAAAGTAAAAGAAAGAAAACTCTAAGAGCGTAAATTAATGAAATAAAAAAATAATGAAATAATTACCAAAACAGAAACTTTAAACACTATAGTTATATAATATGCAAATGTAAAAAGACTGATAAAAATTATTGAAACAAATATAATTTAAAAGTTAAAGGTTATCATTGCATAAACACTGACATTTAAAAACTACTAAGCAGGCCGGGCGCGGTGGCTCACACCTGTAATCCCAGCACTTTGAGAGGCCAAGGCGGGGAGATCACGAGGTCAGGAGATCGATGCCATCCTGGCCAACATGGTGAAACACCATCTCTACTAAAAATACAAACATTAGCTGGCTGTGGTGGCACATGCCTGTAATCCCAGCTACTCTGGCGGCTGAAGCACGAGAATTGCCTGAACCCAGGAGGCCAGGAGGTGGAGGTTGTAGTGAGCCAAGATCGCGTCACTGCACTCCAGCCTGGCGACAGTGAGACTCTGTCTCAAAAAAACAAAAACAACAACAACAGAAAACTACTAAGCATATTCTATGAACAACTGAACAATAATTTTAAAAGTTTGAATGTACATATTGTTCTCTGGAAAAATATTAACTACCAAATTTGACTAGAGACAAAAGACTGAAGAAATGGATTTCCATTAAAGGATTTAAAACTGCAACAAAAATTTTCCCCTCAAATGTAACCAGAAGGAAACGTTTTCTATGTAAGTTTTACCTAATTTCAAATATCAGTTCATCTTTATCATACACATATTACTTCAGAAAACGTTAACAAATAACAAATAAATCAAACTGCATTCTATGACTTTGACAGCAAAGCCAGGCTACACAGAGCACATGGACAGATTAAAGAGAAAAAGAAAAAAAGTTAGGATCAATTCCATATCTGTGCAAAAATTCAAATTCAAACTTCATTCATAGGAAAATACTTAACAAACTAAAAATACAAACAAGCTTGTGTCACCTAATAAGGGGTATACAGTAACCTAGAGAAAGCTAGATACGGAATACTAAAATTTTAACAGCGTTTCCATTATTTCAGGAACACTTTAAGAATTCCCTCTCACAAATCTGGTTTAACATTATGTCAGGTAGTCTAGACACTGAGATAAGAGATTAATAAAAACGAAGAGGAGGAGGAAAACCAGAAGGTAGAAGGAAAGGAGAGGGAGAAGGAATAATTACAAAGAAAGAAAGAAAATTTAATTAGCAAATAGCATGATTTTCTAACGAGAAAATCCAACATGCTGTACAAATAAGTTTTTAGTTCTAAGAAAGTTAAGCAAATTGCTAAATACAAAATCAACTTAAAAACCAACATTTCTATAAATCATTTAGATAATAGAACAATCTTTAATGCACCAGAAGGGCAATTCTATTTTCTTTTTTTATTTTTATTATACTTTAAGTTCTAGGGTACATGTGCACAACGTGCAGGTTTGTTACATATGTATACATGTGCCATGTTGGTGTGCTGCACCCATTAACTCCTCATTTACATTAGGTATATTTCCTAATGCTATCCCTCCCCCCTCCCCCCACCCCACGGCAGGTCCCGTATGTGGTGTTCCCCACCCTGTGTTCAAGTGTTCTCATTGTTCAATTCCCACCTATGAGTGAGAACATGTGGTGTTTGGTTTTCTGTCCTTGTGATAGTTTGCTGAGAATGATGGTTTCCAGCTCCATCCATGTCCCTACAAAGGACATGAACTCATCCTTTTTTATGACTGCATAGTATTCCATGGTGTGGGGAACACAACAATTAAGTATGAATGAATTTAATAGAATATATGTAAAACAATTACGGAGAATTGCACAGTGCAAGAGGAGTCGGAATAATCCTGAAGAAGAATTAGATGAGAGACTCACCATATCCGATATCAAGCATCATTAAAGCAACAGAGTTTGGTATTTAGAGTAGGGTTAGAAAAAGATATTAGCGGAAGGGAACTGGCCATTTGAAAGACACCCATACATGGCCGGGCACGGTGGCTCACGCCTGTAATCCCAGCACTTTGGGAGGCCAAGGCGGGCGGATCATGAGGCCAGGAGATCGAGACCATCCTGGCTAACACGGTGAAACCCCGTCTCTACTAAAAATACAAAAAAAATTAGCCGGGCGAGGTGGCGGGCGCCTGTAGTCCCAGCTACGCGGGAGGCCGAGGCAGGAGAATGGCGTGAACCCCGGGGGGCGGAGACTGCAGTGAGCCGAGATCGCGCCACTGCACTCCAGCCTGGGTGAAAGAGCGAGACTCCATCTCAAAAAAAAAAAAAAGAAAAGAAAAGAAAAGAAAGACACCCATACATGTGTAGGCACTTATATGACAAACAGAAAGGAACCGAGATCTCTACCTCACACCACAAACAAAAACACTTCTAGTTAAATTAAAAAGCAAGTGCAAAAGCAAAACTTTATCACTTTTGAAAAAAATGAGAAACAAGTAATCAAAGTAGAGAAGTCGTGAGAAAATATTAAGACAATTTAAAATATTAAAAACATTGTGATTAACACAGTAATTCACAAGTGGAAAACTTACAAAACTATAGACTGGGAGAAAATATTTACAACACAAAAAAAATCCAAGAAAAAAAACTGACATCCAGAATTTTAAAATATGTAAATAGAAACCCTACAAATAACAACATAAAGACAAACCCAGTAGGAAAAATGGACAAAGGTGTTGACAGGCAAGTCAGAGAAACAGAAACAAGGACGGCCAATTAATATATGAAAAGACGTCCCATTGTATTCAGGTAAATATAAATTAAAGCAGAGACATCACTCATACCCTGATATTGGCAAAATTTAAGAATCTTAATAATTATGTTTGGGCAAGTAAAGTGCTTATACGCTATCAGTGGGAGTGAAAAATTTTATAACCAATTTTTAGAACAATTGAGTCATATCTAGTAAAGCTGAAGAAAACTTAGTTATTATCCAAGAATTTTACTTCTAAAGACACTCTTTGAATTGTCCCCAAGAAGGTATGCACAGTGTTCACCTCCACATTATGAGTAATAACAAAAAAGTAAATATTTATAAAGAGGCAAACAGTAAACACATACATAGGAGTTAACACAAATGAGACACGTATTGAAATGGTTAAATCTCAAAGCATATTGCAAGCAGACCTAGAAACGTACAGATTATAGCATTTATATATTTTTTTAAAACTGAATTTTACTTCTTAGAGAAGTTTTAGGTTCACAGCATGAGAGAAATGTACAGAGATGCTCCATGTGCCCCTCCTCCCCCAACATGTACAGCCTCCCTCATCACCAACACCCCCACAAGAGTGGTACAATTGTTACCATTGATGAGGCTACATGGGCACTTATCATCATCCAAAGCCCCCAGTTTACAGTAAGGTTCACTCCTGAAGTACATTCTGTGGGTTTGGACAAATTTATAATATATGTAGCCACTACTGTATCACACAGAGCAGTTTCACTCTCCTAAATGTGAGATTTTATAAAAGATTTAATATATGATTTGAAATCCTGCAAAAGCATGAAACGCGTACTATTGTGTGTAGATAATATGTCATGTAGGTTCAAATGCATGGGCTGTTTATGGTGTATTCTGATTCAGTGTGGTCCACATACAAAAGTCAGAAGATATTTTTCATCTTTGTATTCCCAGCGACAAGCAGAGGGCCTGGCAAAACTTAGGAACCTCATGATGTATGTTTTAAATTAAAGCCAACAATAGCCTATTTAATAACAAAAGCAAATATTTCTTTCGTTGCATTCTATTTTGTTGCCATTGCTAATAAATGAGTCCTGTAACTGATAAAATTTAAGAAAATGTCACTGGGGAGAAAGACTGTGCTGAAATGAGGTTTTTTAAATAGTACAGCAGTTACAAAGGAGACAAACCCGACAGGCCATTTCTGTCCTCATTTGCTGGTACTCTCAGGTCTGAGGGACTTTTCCCAGTTTCTCAGTCAACACAAATCAAACATAATCACACTAGTTTGTCCTTTATGTTTCACTGCCCAAGTATCACACTATTACCCAATGTTCTTTGGGCTAGAGCTAGAAGCTTTTTATCTTGGTATCTAAGGCAGTTTGGTGATATACCTGATATTAGAGTCCAAACTAATCACAGTGATGCACAGAGCTAAGGTCATTCTAGCTTTACATGCTAATTGTTCTGCTAACAGTCTTCAATTACAAAAATATTAAAGGCCATGCTTATGTAGTATTTAGCGCAAGAGGCAGAAATCTATTGGTTAATTGAAATCCCAAGTAAGATATTATTACAAAAAGAAAAAAAATGAAAGAAAGTTGAATATAGAAATTTTCTTCTGGGAGGAGGAACAGTTTCTTAGATTACAACAAACTATGTAAAAGCAAATTGAAGAAGAGTACAAATCTATGGCCTATTTCTGCTTGTCTCCTCCAGCCCATTCCTTTGCGTTAATGAAACCTCTACTTGGCTCCACAGATGGACGTATAGGTTAATGTTGTAAGGGTCATTTTTTTCTCAGCTAAAATGACTGTGTGCTTTCTATAAGCTTATTGGAAAAAAACAACTGTTTTTACATTACAGTTTCCAGTTATTATAATTTCAGGCACAATATCTGTGTTTTATTTTTCTTCTCGTTTTTCTTAAGTTGTCTAGTCTTCATATACATGAATCTGTATATATGTATCTATATATTTTCATACACACATATACACACACACACATGAAAGCCACTCTAGGCCATCCAAATTTTCCCTCTGAAAGTGTTTTCCCATTGCAGCAGTTCTGATAGCAGGAGCTTATTATAACATAACCTGATGGAGTGTTGCAGTCGACTTTGGAAATACGTTTTCTGGTGTTTTATCCTGCTTATTAGTGGGTCTCCAGGTGCGAATGTAATTCCTCAAGTGTCGAAATTACGTGAAGGGCCTTTGACTTAGCAACACTGGCAGAAGCTGGAGGGAGGGCACACAGATATTTTGCGCTGGGCATAATGTTGTGGCCTACTGCCCGGAGAGTGCATTTGCCATTCTAAACCCTTTGTGTCTCCTCTGGAACCATTTTCCAAAAATACATGTTGTGGTGTGTATTTAAAGGATAGTTGGGGACCCAAATACCACTATATGCCTTTGAAATACAAAATAATGTTAAAATAATAACACCATGGTCTTTCTTTGGGTTGCCCAGGTTCCTAAGGATAATTCTTATTTTAAATTTTTGTGAAAAATTAGCAGTGTGCAATACATTAGAACACACTAGAGGCTTTTTAACTGTACTCACTACTGAAGGACAAATTACTTTTGCCAACAATGTGAAGCAGGAGTGAGACGTCATCATGGTTAAGGAAGGAAACAGATGATGATGAACATTTATCTCATGCCTATAACTTTTTAGGCTCTGTACTAATTACTCTGATTTCCCCATTTAATTATATCCTCACTTCATTTTTGTGCTGTAGGAAGCTCATCTTGGAGGTGAGAAAACTGAGCCATATTGAAATTAATTCATGTGACCCAGGGTTACACACCTAATGTATGTTAGCATTGGGGTTAAAGAACAACAAACACAGCAAAACCCACATCACGTAAATATTGACAGTTGTGTCACAAACTATTGGCATGTAATACTTTTAAGATTTTTTTTTGTCTGAAAAACGATTATGGAAGAGAACAGACTTCAAAATCATACAGAAAGGCCCCAAATCAATGTTCCTTTTTTCCTATGGAGAGGCTGTCGCTGATATACGCAAGTTATACACACACATATACATATAGATATTACACATACATAAACATATGTAAAATTATATATGTAAAAAGAATAGTAATAAGACAGGCCTATAGGAGTAATGATAAATAGTATGTCAAGACAGTTCAATATTTCTAGTCATATGAATAATTGTCCCCTTAACATTCTGGTGGCCACCTATTGTAAGTATGGGAATAGATGAAATTAAGAATGCCAAGATATTTTGATGATGCTTGATAGAAATTTAAATATATTCATGTGTTTCAATATGTACCGAAATTTACATTACATTTAAAATACATTAAATGGTATATGCTTATATTCAGATTAGATATTTTAATTTGGCTTCAGCAGGATAAAGAAAGGCGGTGCTCATTTTCCTTGAACTTCATTACTGAAAGCTAATGATCTTTTATTCTATGTTATTACACCCTGCAGTTTTTTGAGAAACCCATAATTTCTAAGTAGCATCGCTAATTAGCTAGATGCTGTTGTTTGCATACAAATAATAGTTACTGTAATTCTGTTCATCTTTATATAAGAAATAGCACATTGTAACAATCAATTCCCCTTCAATTGATAAACTGGTTTTCTGTAGTTCCCAGGTGTAACATATTAAATAAGGCATATAAGAACTTATTTTTAAACGTGTAAATGAGTACTAGTCAGGAAATAAGCTTGGAGTATTATGGGGTGTTGAGATTTAATGTCATTAAAGCTCAAGCTTTGCATTTTTAGGGGCAAGGGTGCGTGTAAAGATGTAGGGGAGATAGGGTAAAAAGACAACATTTTTAAGGAGCTCTTCTAGACCTCATCAACAGAGTCAGCATTAATTGGCACTACTTTCTGCCTGCATAAATGCTATGGGTCTTGTGTAAATAAGAAAAAGAGGCTTTTAAAATTCCAATTTCAACTCATGACTTAGAATTTAATGAAACTGTTCAAGTTCAGCACTTTAATCTCACAAATTGGTTTATCACAGCCTAGTGGCCACTTCTTGTTTCATAATAAGCACAACAACAAATATCTATGAACACTTAGAAAATTAAACCAAGGGAAGTATATGCAATTCTGAGCTCATTAGAAGCAATTCATATTTTCATCTGTCTCATTAGAGAGGTTTTTATGAACTGAGTAATAAACTTTTCTATCTGTGTTTTTAAAATTTTCAGTCCAGCTGGTAGGAGCAAAGTTTTCTCATTATCCCCAAACGATATACATATATATTTTTAAAGCACAACTTGTGATTGAAAGAGCAGAAATGCAAGGCAATAAAGAAATTCAGAATAATGAGGGTATAATATCGATTATTCAGAAAAGTTTCAGTGAATTATTTTGCATTAATACCCACAGATTTGACTCCACATTTTGAGGATCCTTTATTTGAAAGAACAATTGGCATTACAGACAAAAATCATAAGGTCAAAAATGGAAAAAAATGACGTATTTGTTAATGAGCACTGCTTCAGCATATTTTTTTCCTGTATTAAATACAGTATCTGTCCTTTGTAGTGTGTATAGAAAACTTTCTTCTCTAGTTTTGTCAGATAAAATCAAAAGTGGGCATTTTTTTCGTGTTTCAAACCAGCTGAATGCAAGGCAAAAATTGTTAAACTTGAATCTGAACTTAAAAAATATTTCCAAATGATGTCTTTCTTGTTCATCTTTAGAATAAACAATATCATCTCTATTTGGGTTATATTTAGGTGTTGATTCTATAATAACAAGCAATATAATTTAGCCCTAAGCACAGCTTAAGGGTGCCTTTTCATAATCTTCATCATGAGCTGCTATGAATTAGAATATTATTGGAAAACCTTAGCACCTGATAAAAGTATCTAATGTATAATTGATTTCAAACTGTGCCTTGAAAATGCTTGAATTAAGTATATTGAATCATGCTGTGGTTTTACACTTCCCTAACCTTGAACATGCTACTGCACCTGGAATATAATTTCTCTTCTCCACCTGCCTATTCTTTGCCTAGACAAAGCATGAACATAAATATATTATCATAAAGAGGAAGTGAGTTGTGATTAGTGGAAAAAAACTTAGAGTTTATTCACTGTTCTGTTAAGGTCACACAAACATGAATTACAATTTTTCTCCAAAAACACAGCAATATTCCAAGAGAACTATTGCGGCCCAGGAGTAACTTAGGTAATAGGGCAGCATGTTCAAGGTTAGGGAAGTGTAAAACCACATGATTCTTCTGAGAACTGTAAATACTTCAGCATGACTGGAGCAGAGGATGCAGTGTGTGTGTGCGCTGAGGGGTGAGCAGAGTGCTCCTAAGAAAACAGATGAGAAGAACATGTTGAAAAGATTTATATGTCTTGCTAAAGAATATAGATTTTCATCCTGAAGGCCATTGCAGTCACTAGTAATTTAAACAGGGAATGGCACTGGCACGTTTGTATTTTGAAAAATTATATTCTTCCAATAAATTTCTAACTACTTTGAGCGGGCTTCTATTTTCCTGGAATATGAATGGGGTGGGATGGGCAATCTTCCATCTCAGCCAAGGCCTCTTCTGTTTGCTAATGGCAGCCTTTTTGTGATCGTGATGGTTACATTTTGAAACTTCAGAGCACAGCATCAGCTTTCTTGCTAACGCTTCACATAGGTGTCTGGATATTGTCCATCTTTACTGTTACTCAAATTCCACCTCACTTCCTTGGCTCTAAGATTTTTGTCCTTTTAGATGAAATTTCCTGCATCTTTGTCTATTCTATTACTGTTGAGATGAGTGGAAAAGAAAGGATAGAATGGAAGCCAGGTAATCTGGAGCCAGCTTATAAATTTGCCTAGCAAATATTGTACTACATCAAACACATAATATTCCAGTCCTCAAATCCCAACATAAATTAACAACAAATCTTGGGTTATGTTTACAAAATAAGTTAGTAAACAAGTAGGACAGAGTGCCTATTGTGTAGCTACCTTTTGTCACTATATACATTGGTAGGAACTTAAGGAATTTGTAGCATCTGAAGATAATTTGGGTGTCAGTTGGAAGTGTGCCCAGGATTGAAAGCCTGCTGTTGCTCTAAAATGTCACCTGGGACCATGTCATCAATCTACGCACCTTTCCTGAATGGCTTTGATGCCGATCAGTCTGGTTTCCCTGAGTATTAAAGTAATGGGCTCCTGGCTCTATTTCAGCTCTGTCAAAGTAGCTGCCGCTCCTCTCTATTGCCTTCCTACAGGGATTTAATCTACTCCAAGTTCCCTGACACATTATAAGGAGGAAATCTGTTTTCTCTGTCACTTTTTCTTTCTCAGCTAGGTCTGCATCAGAACATCTTTGCTTTGGATAAGATGGTGCAGACTTGCCATGAAAGCCGGTGTTCTCATCCGTGCTATGAGTTGTCTAACTTAAGGGTATTGTTTCCCCACACCCCCAAGGGTTCCTGCATGTTTCTGCATGTAAGAAATACCTTGCAACAAATACGTGCTCAACTTATTTTCACCTCTTCTGTGAAGTGTCTGACCCCTCAAGGAGACAATGCTACTTCTTGTGGACTTGCAAAATTACACAATTTCATGCCTATAAAATCCTTGTAATATATTTTATTTGTTACTCTTCTATCTTTTTCCTACTGGAGAGTAAACTCTTTGATGAAAGAAATTGCACTTCTGTAGTAATATTAATAACAAAAATATCCATGGACTGCTTACTCTGAGAGACACAATGGACTAAATACTTTTTGTGTATTATCTTATTGTATCTTCACAACAAATGTGATGCTGCTTTTGTTTGTGTATTTTTTTTAGTTTAGTTTAGTTTTGTTTTGTTTTTAGATTGCACAGAAGCTTAGGAATATGTGCAAGCCTAGATGTGATCCCAGTCCAACAGATTTCACAGCCTTCTCTCTACCTGAGTTTTACTTCGGCTCCCTGACAACAATGCAAATTTGTCAAGCAGCTTGATTGTCTGAATCAATCCTCACAGAAACCTATTTTATGGATGAAGAAACAGAGGCTCAAAGATGTTAAGCCATTTCACTAAAGTCATGCAATCGGTAAGCTATGGGGGCAAAGTCAAGCTAGCTAAAAAATTGTGTTCACTCGGTGAATGTCCTGTGAATGACCTGTCTCCCTGTTTTACTTTTCTAACGCAAGAATCTGGACCAAGGACTCACAGAGGATAATAGAATAAGCATTGAATAAACTAGTTTGGTTGCTTACTGTTTAAAACCCATTTTAGAAGGAAATGAAATATATTTTCTCAGAAAATTAACATTTTAATATCTTATGATTTTCATCTACTTGCTTCTGTGTGTGTGTGGATATGTACATTATAAGTCCTAAGCCTATCAGAAAATTTCATTTTCCTAGATAAAATCATTGTACAGGGACTGACAAGTGATCAATAAATTGAATTTTGGTGAACTATTGCTTGAAAGGCTGGGAGAAGCATGTTCTCTCCTTTGCATATTGTCACATCCAGATGAAGCCTTGAAATTCTTGAGTACACAACTTTCTGATGGAACATGATGCTGATACCAAAAAGACAGGCAAGATGGGAAATGTGTAGATAAATGGATAAATGAATAAATGGAGTCACAACACCTAGCTTAGGTGAAAAGCAGAAACTGGCCTACCTCCAGAATTCCAGTGATGTGTACTGCTGATACATTTCCTGATGGTTTAAGCCCATTGATTTGGATTTTTATTATTTGATACAAAATGTATACTAATTGATATGTTTGCAGAATTGAAATTCATACACCCGCTCTGGCAGACACTAGCCATGGGATTTGGGGTTAACCTAAATGGATCCTCAACTTCTAACCAAATAGAACTACATTTCTACCCAAATTGGTTGCTATGAGTATGAGACAGGACAACTTGCAGTAAACACTCATTAAATAATCTGTGACCATATAGCCAAGTAATTGTTTGATATTAATTAGGTTACTTATCTACTCCTTTTATCTCCTGTTGCATTAAAAAATAACAAACCCAACATTGTTGGGCATATACTGTGTCCCTGGCACTGTGCTAAAGGCTTCATATTTGTCAATTCACTTAATCCCAGGTACAGCCACAAGAAATGGATCCTAGTCTTACCTCCTTTTTATACACGAGAAAATAATGGTGTTACCCAAACCCCTGGGATACTTACTTATTCTTTGTAAACCACAAACTCTGAAAATAATATTTGGCACAACAAAATGGAAATATTTGAAAGACATTTCTATAAAAAAAAAAGCATTCCAGTCAATACTAACCTTTCAAAATAGGCAGCCAAAAAAGGTGTATGCCATCAATAAAAATCGTCTGATAAAAATTATGAAATTTACTAAGTAAGTTTATTTCTAAGTGGGATTTGCTATAGTGTAATGAAAAAGAGATTTGATACTAAAGAGAGTTCAAGACTCCTTATTTGAAAGGTCAAGGTTTATGGGAAAGTCATGTATTCATTTTTAGTCTCCTCCATCTCTATGAAATAGAGATAATAATTAAATCTCTTTCCAACCCTAAAACAACCAACCAAGGACACTGCACAAACAACACAGAACAAAGGTCCAGGGCTATCTAAGTGCTCCACAAGTGCTATTATAATAATTATTATATTAGTTAGCAGACGTTTTTGTGCTCCTAGTTACTGCTTTTTCAGTAAAACATGTATTTCTGATTACAATGAAATTAAAAGAAATGTGCCACCATCGACTGAACAATCACTGTGCTTGTGGTTGCAAAGGATTTGGCAGAATTCTTGAAAAAATTTTACCTGGGAAAAAAGAAAAATAAAGTATCATTTTGTCTGTGAAAGAGATGGCAAACTACTTAGAAAAAAAAAAAAGCAGGCATGTAAACTATTTTCTCTGAAGAGTACTTTTGAGATGTCAATGGGATTTATTTTTTTCAGCAAACATCTTTATGGCAAACTGCCTTTTGCCTTTCAAGTTTGTTGGTGGTAGGGTTGCTGCCAGAGTATGTGTTGATCTTTGTTTAGTTTTATTGAAAGTATACATTGTACACACCATTTGCTAAATGAGGGGGCATCAGAGAATAATAGAAATCTCGTAGGTCTTACAGAGCTGACTGGTACTCAGACACATTCAGACGGATTGTGTAACAGCCTTTAAAAAGATAAAAATTGTTATGTTTGTAGGAATCCCCTGAGATTCTCTTACATACTCCTTAAGAATTTTGTTGTTGTTGTTTCACATTCCTTTATCTTTTAAAAAAAAACCTTATCAGACTCTATATTTTCAGAGCCGGCAGAGTTCTTACCGTATTTTACATGCTTAGTAAATGTCTTCCATTAAATAGAATGAATGACTAGGACTAAAAGAGTTTTCTTCCGCCTCCATGTCATAACTCATGTGGGCCAAACTGGCCTGAAGGCCCCAAAATTTTCAACATTGAGCTCCAACCTGGTCTGCACTTTTCCTCTCTGAATTGGTGTGATCAATCCTTTCCAATTACACAGTTTATTGTGGTGAGAACTTCTAGAAGGTGAGCCTCTTGAGAATGTAAAACTCACAATCCAATGTCCAACTGAACACTCAAAAAATATAATTCTCAGTGCATTTCTGGAATAGCTGATTTTTAGGCACAAATTATATCTGGTCAAAATGGAGTTTTTTTCTAATAATCTGTTCCATTGTAGGTGCCCTACTCATTCCCCACCAGTGGTTTGCTTTGCCTGTGAGTATGAAGGACAGCTTGATGCCTCTCATCTTGTATTCCCTGGGTATCCATGTGATAATATCTACATGTCTCTCAGTGACTTCTGCTTAAAAGGAGATAGCCAAAAGTCTACTAAGCACCAGTGAGAACCTGGGATCTTCATGTACAAAATCATCTGCTTTCAGGCATAGTTCATTCCCTTTAATGACCTCTGGCTCAGCTTACCTCTCATAGCATCTCCTCTCTCACTCAGAATGATTTTAAGGACACCTATGGTTTTCTTTCCCATGTAGAAGCTGATGACCCACATCTTTTTCTTCCTATCCCTTACTTTCTTCTCCTAAATAATAATCACATATATGCATTAAATCCATCTCCAAATTCAGCATTTACCAAAGAAGAGTCTTCACCCAAAATGTTCAAAAGAGTTAAAAATACTCCTTTCATTTTATATAAAACATTTTTAAGGGTAGCAACAAATAACAAAGCCATGTGTCTTTTAATGATTCTAGATGGCTCTTTCCCATGTGGTCCCTACACTTTTTTGCTGCAGATTCCTGGTGGCTCCACCTCCTGAGTATTTGTCAGTGCTATGAGATAAGTTATCTTACCTCTAATGTGGGAGTGTATGTGGGAGTGGTCCCACATACACATTATGATGTCCAATCCTTGCAATAAATCTTTGAAAGATGCCTTTTATTCCCTTATCAATGAGAAAACTGAAGTGTGCCTAAGCACCTTCAGCTAGCAAGTGGTAAACCCATCTTTGTTCTCAAGTCTGGCTGAGATCATAGCTGATATAATCTATTATGTACCACTGTTTTTTGATTAGGAAGATAACATTTAAATACGTGTAGTTCTATTCCAGTGTCTTTCTGACCAATTTCCTAGGGTGATCTGGGCTATACCTAACCATTGCTGATGAAATAATGTTTTAAAAGGCATCCTAAGGAATTGCCTTGAAATTACCCACTCTCTTACTTGCCTAGAGGTGATTACAATGTTTCTAAAGGAAATTAAAGATATATATTTCCCCTACTTAAGTGACCCAGGCACCCCTAAGAGAGAAGCTAGTCTGCTTAGCATACTTCAGGGGCTGCTGAATTATTTGTGCTGCACTACAAGGTCACTATAATTCCTCACTAGCTATCAATTGTTTGACAATGGGGTGTCATCCATCAGCCTGTAACTTTCATTGTCAAGTGCATTCTATTTTTATATACCCATGAACTCACACATTTAGCAGAGACAGGAAGGTGTCTTTCTCTATAGGATAAGCAATGAATTGTGTGTTTCATCTGTAATATGTTATTTTACAACATATTATTCAGAAATATCCTTTGCTACAGACAAAAAAGACTTTGAAAAAATTGTAATCTCTTCCTTCTTAAAAACTGTCTTTTTTTTCTGTGAAGGTTTGCTACAAAGAGCAGATTGAAAAAAAATGCCTTCTATTCTGCCATTTTATAAAATACGTCTCAGCAAATAGTCATAAATCTGTCAGATATTGCAACCCAGTTTGGTATTATATACTAGGAAAATGAACTCAATAGCAATATAATCTTACTTTCCAATGCAACTGAACTCAGGGAAAATACCTTAGGAAGAATGCAGGCATAGAGAGCAAATAAAATCTAAGTACCACAGATATAAAGAAGTTTATGATGGCATATACAACTTTGGATATTGGTGTTTTCCTTTTATTAATTCTAACACAAACCCTCAATCATATCCTTTTTTAATTTGGTTTATTATTTTTCCCTTTTTTCTGAGAAGAGTGAAATTACATTTTATCTCTTATCTACGTTTTTGTTTGTTTAGGTTCATCTTTCCATTAAAAATATTATTGGAGCCCTATTTAGATATTAGCCAATTTATACAAACCATTTTCTCAGAGTTGACTCACTGGTTATCCGTATCATAGAGATTTATTGATTTCTTTTATTTGAAAATCAGATAATGTGTTTCCATTTATTAAATTGAAATTTTAATTGAAAAGTGAACAGAGAGAACTCAAATTATTGCTTGGCAGTGTTTGATGGTTCCAACTTTTTAACTGCTTTGCCTTAGTGAGAAGACTGACATATTTAGCGAGTTCAAAAAACACTATTCAAATTCTTAAAAGATCATTTTTTGCTTGCAGTAGAGAGGATGTGCTGACTTCAAGTTTTTTTTCTCACCTAAGCCTTTGGAGAATGATAAACAAGTGAATGACTTAAAGGAGATGGAGTTGATTGTTCCTTTTTGGAATAAGTCTGCCCTTCATTCACATTACACCACAATTCAGCAAGTATTTATTGAGTAATGTAGAAATCAGACAGAGTAGAAGTTTGGGAGAAAGAGTATGAATTAGTGGTAGCCTCAATAAGAAGGACCCTGGCTTTGTTGTATGATAATCAGTCAGAGAAAAAATAGCTCCTCATTGACCTAAAATACAGAGTCCTTAATTTCTCTCACTGTGCCTTTTATGATCTAGCTGTTCATTTGCTCCCCTGCTTCATCACTTATGACTACGCCACTTTTTCTCCTCCGAACTCCATGCTCCAATCAGAATAAATTTCTTTCAGTTTCATGAAAAAGTCAAACTGTCTTTTTGCCTACAAGACTTTAAACACTCTATACTCTTTGCACAGATTATTGTCATTCTTCTCTCCATCCTCCACTACTTCTTCCTTCCTGAGATCAGAGATCAAATACAGTTTCCATGAAGCCTTCATTAGATGCTCCATTCTGAGTCCCAGGGACTTCACTTCTCCTATCCTGGTTTCATGACATTATACTGTAGTTCCTTATTTAATTATTTCAGTTTCCCAATAAACTCAGAAAGGAACAGAGGTTGCCTTGCCTAGTGTTGAATCCTAAATTCCAGATTACAAATGTCATCAATGAGAAGCATTTCAGGTAGAGGGGAGGACACAGTAAAAGGTATGGCTTTTGGAGAGTTATAGAATGTGCTGAAGGCATAATAGGAATTCCAGGTATTCTGAAGAAAAAAATTTTAATAAATGAGCTGTAAAATTTACTTTGGGGTTATAGTGTATCTTAAATGCCAGTATAAATGCTTTGAACTTGAATCTGTAGGCAATGGGATGACATTTAACATCATTAGACTGGACATTGTTTTCTGAAACTCAAGAACTAAGACCATAAACATGTTACATGTTAGTGTATACATGGAATGTAGACTAAAAAAACACAAATTACATATGAAGTAAAAAATCTATATTAATATGAAGTTAATATTATTAATACTGGAGAGGGAGAGGAGATTAGCATCAATGAAGCACCTGCTATGTGATAGGTAGCATGTAATGTACCATCTCTTTAATGCTCACTAGTCCTCTTTGGGACAATTCACAGTGTCGTTTTTTAATATGAAAAAAACTAAAGGTTAGTGAAGTAATGCACATTAAACTTCAAAAACTTCAAATGCAGCATTCTTTTCTTCATTGTTTTTAGATGCTTAGAACACACCCTAGATAGAGCTAGTTACATAATAATCCCTCAATATTTTTGCAGATTCAGTTCAATAAACGTGTTTATTTCATGATCTCAAACAACCCTTCAGGTAAGTAGGATTACTTTCTTATATACAAAACATAAATAAGATAAGTCTTCATCAGCTTGGGCTGTCATAACAAAATACCATAGATTCAGTGTCTTAAACAACAGAGATTTATTTTCTCAGAGTTCTGAAGCCTGGAAGTCTTGAAATCAGGGAACAAGCATGGTCGGGTTCTGGGAAGGGCTCCTTCTGACTTGCAGATTAATGCCTTATTGCTGTGTGCATGCGTGGCTTTTCCTCAGTGTGTGAAGTGTGTGTGTGTGTGTGTGTGTGTGAGAGAGAGAGAGAGAGAGACAGGGAAACAAAAGAGAGAGAGAGAAAAAAGGAGGGCAGACAGAGAGAAATCTCTCTTTTTGCCTTCTTATAAAAGTACTAATCTCATCATGAGCATCTCACTGGCATGACTCATCTAAATCCAATTATCTCCTAAAGGCCCCATCTCCAAATACCATCACATTGTGGGTTAGGACTTTAACATGTGAATTTTGGGGAGCACAAATATTTAGTCTGTAGCTTTATATCTGACCCCCCAACATTCATGTCCTAGGGCATGCAAAATACAATCATTCCATCCCAACAGCCCCAAAATACTTAACTCATACGAGCATCAACTCTTGATTCCAAAATTCAAAATATCATCAAAATCAGAAATGCATGAAAACTGAGGTACGATTCTTCCTGAGGCAAAATTCCTCTCTAGCTGTGAACTTGTGAAACCAGGCAAGTTATGTACTTCCAAAATACAATGCGGACGCAAGCAAAGAATAGGCATTCTCATTCCAAAAGAAAGAAATAGGAAAAAAGAAAAGAGTAACGAGTCCCATGCCAGTGCAAAACCAAGCAAGGGGAATTCTAAAGATTGTAATGTTCGAGATTAACTTTCTTGGTTGATTCTCTGTCCTCCAGGCTCAGTGGGGCAATAGCATCACCCTCATGGCTCTGGGCCATGTCTTGCCCCTGTGGCTCTGTCTGATGGAAGTCACACTTTCAAGGCTCTAGGTGGCTTTGCCTCAGTGGCCCTGTGTGGTAGTCCCCCACCCATGGATCCATAGTGAAGTCTTGTCTTCATCTCCTTTACTTCAAACTTAAAGTATTCTCGCTTATATAATCTCATAAGCTTTTTTCCAAGTCATAATTTACCACACCCTTGGTTTTATCTTCTAAATATGCTTTCTGATGTTTCCCAATATGAACAGGCTGAGAACCTTTCAAATTTTTAAGACTTGGATCCATTTGAGTAACAATTTCTCCTTCAAATTCTCTCTGTTCTTTCACATGTTTACTATAAGCAGTCAGGAGGAACCAAGGCACACTTTCAACACTTTGCTTAGGAATCTCCTTATCTAACTACCCAATTTCATTGTACACTAGTTGTAACTTCCCCAAAACATCAGAACACAGTTCTTTTCCTCTTTATAACAAGAACAACCTTTTCTCCAGCTTCCAGTAACATGTTTCTCATTTTCTGTCTGATACCTCATCAGGATGCCTGTATCATTCATATTTTCAGCATGTACCTTAAAACTCTTCCAGCCTGTACTCATATCCAGTTCTAAAGCTGCTTTTACATGTTTAGGTATTTGTTATAGCAGCACCCCACTTCTCAGTAACAAAATCTGTCTTGGTCAACTCAGACTTTCATAACAAATACCATAGATTATGTGGCTCAAAAAACAAATTGAGTTTTCTTAGATTTTGGGAGAATTGAAGTCTGAGATAGCTTCTGGTGAGGGCACTCTTCCTGGTTTGCAGACAGATGCTTTTTCACTGTGTGCTTGCTTACATATTCTTTCCTTAGTATGTGAGTGTTGAGAGATGTATCTCTTCCTCTTCTTATAGGGACACTATTTCCATCATGAGGACCCTACCCTCATGAATTCATCTAACCCCAATTACCTCCTGATGGCTCCAGTTTCAAATATGCATTGGGGGTTAGGGTTTCAACCCATAAATTTTGGGGGATGCAAACATTCAGTCCATTAACATTACATGCAATTGTAAGAGATTTGCCTCAGATCACTCTGCTGGGTTCAATAGTGTCTCTTGAACCTCAGCGGAGGAGGTTGCAGTGAGTCAAGATCATGCCACTGCACTCCAGCCTGGGTGACAGAGCGAGACTCCGTCTCCAAAAAAAAAAAAACGTCCAAAAATTTATGTCCTTCCTGGAACCTCAGACTACGACCTTATTTTGAAATAGGGTTGTGCAGAAGTGATTAGTTAAGACGAGGTTATACTGGATGATGGGCCCCTAATCCAATATGACTTGTGGCCTTACTAGAAGAGGGGAAGAGATACAGAGGCAGACATACACAGGGAACCACACATAACAATGAGGAAGACGTTAAAATGATGCATCTACTAGCAAAGTATTGCCAGCAAACACCAGAAACTAAGAGAAAGACACAAAACAGATTGTTCCCCAGGGACTTCAGAGGGATCATGGTCCTGCCAATAACTTGATTTCAGACTTCTAGCCTCCACAACTGTGAGACAGTACATTATTTTTGCTTCAAGCCACCTAGATCGTGGTTTGTTATAGCAACCCTATGAAATGAATATAGACACAATTGTAGAAAGTGAGTGTAGCCCTTACTTCTGACCATAAATTTAATAATCTGTCAATATATTGGCATAGCATAACGTAAAAATGTAAGAATTATTTGTGCATAAAATCAACAGGGGTTATTTCAATTCTTTTTTTTTCTACCTCTGTTCTTGATTTTTTTTTAACCTCACATAGGTCATAAAATTTATATACAATAGTTACCACTTGCACTGTCTTCCTACAATGGTTATTGGATTAAAAAAATTAATGAAGAATCTGGTTAAATAGTATAAAATAGCAAATTAAACAATATTTCTTTCATGTTAAACTATATCTATTAGCTATTTTAACATTAAGTGACTTTCTTTAACAAGTGCCAAGTACCATAAGTATTTTCAACAGCATAAGGATTCTTAAAATTAGAAAAATGAAGAGCAACACAACCAGTAACCTTATTTTTATGTTCTAAATTCTCAGCACTAGTCTCTTGACATATATTCTCCCTGGTATGCTGTGAAAAGAGGAAATAAAATAACTCTAGAGTCTCATTAACTCCTCCTTTAGTCTCCCAAGATGTTTCATGTGTAAGGACATGATAATGGTATTGAATAATCATACCCTTTTTTTCTAGAGGTTTACATTTCATATGTAAAGAACTTCCTGGAATGTTCAGTTTTAAGTGAAGAAGCTCAAATTTAATCATGACTACAATCCCCTAACAAGATAATTAATCTGGATGGGGAGGGTGGTGGTGACTGTGAGGGGTATGGGAACTCTCTGTAATTTCCACTCAATTTTCCTGTGAGCCCAATATGGTTCAAAACATAAAGTCTATTAATTAACATTTTAAAAAGATAATGAATCTCAGGATATCCCGAGCAGAAGTCAGAGCATTTAAAACATGTTTTTTGGAGGCCAGGCGCAGTGGCTCATGCCTCTAATCCCAGCAATTTCAGAGGCCCAGGCAGGCCGATCACCTGAGGTCGGGAGTTTGAGACCACCCTGACCAACATGGAAAAACCCCATATCTACTAAAAATACAAAATTAGTTGGGTGTGGAAGCACATGCCTGTAATCCCAGCAACTCGGGAGGCTGAGGCAGGAGAATTGCTTGAACCCCAGAGGCGGAGGTTGTGGTGAGCCAAGATCGTGCCATTGCACTCCAGCCTGGGCAACAAGAGCAAAACTCTGTCTCGAAAAAAAAAAAAAAAAAAAATTAGAGGGGTGGACTCCAAGCATCAGTAGGTATTACTTTAAAGATATTTGGATGATTCTTCTGTACAAGGCACTACTCAACATGTGTGAACAACTTGAAGATATGTAAGGCATTTTGTTTTTGTCTTTGTATGATATATAGCTGCTATTCTGTTTGCATAATATCTGCCTTACATAGTGTAGCAAATGAATGGATAAATTTGCATGTGTTCTTGATTCAATGGAGATTACTTTGGACCTTCAACTATTTTCCTTGGAAGCTATTAATATTTACTTTCTGCTTTAGCAGTGGAAGAAGTTTTACACTAGGGTGAAGTGTTCAGTAGATGGATGAGCTTGCAGGTGATACAGTAAAACCCTATTAATATTCACTTGACTGAGAAGGCTTTGGACACAAAAAAGAAAGATATCTTCTTTTTCAGGATTGTAGCTTCAGAAACATTAAAAAAGTATGACTTCCTTGGAGGAGTAGAGCTCACTAACTCTGTGTTGCATGAGAGACTAGATAAGAATTAACGTAGATATTAGAAAGGTAGAAACGATAATTACATGGCTTGCTAATGATATGATTATTTACCAAATAAACACAGCTATTCTACTGGCAAAAGTCTATTAAAGCTAATAAGAAAGTTTGTTTAAAAATAGAACATTTTAATAGTAAAAATAAATAATTAGACTAAGATTTCAATTTAATACATAAATTATAAAAAGCTCAAAATGTATAAACCTTAGTAATATGTACAATTAAAATTAATGATCTGGTTCTGTAAAATAAAGCAATACTCTATGGGGCAATATAAAAGGTCATTTTAGTAATTGGAGAGACAGTGTGTGATTCTAAATGTGAGACATGCCAATTCTTCCCAGATTAATCTAAAAAACAAATACAATTCTTCAAAAAAAGACATTGGGAAAGAACTGCTGAATCTTTTCAAAACATTTCTATCATTCATCTAAAAGGCAAAATGGCCATGGGTAAACAAATTTTTTAAAAAAATAATACCACTAAAATTTGCTAGTCTTAATACTTTTTTCGTTTTACACACCTGAGGTTAAGGAGTTAGAAACTTTTAAATTGAATTATTATTGATATATTATATCTGCAGGCCAAATGACTGATTTTTAAAGTAAAATCTCATTTGGTCTTTTATTTACTTTTACTATTCTCATTTATGTATATATTCCACGAATTTTGTTCAATGCCTTAAAAAGCACTTTTACATAAAAGCTAATAAGGAGACGATGATGGTCAGAGATAAATGAGCCCATAAACTATGTCAAGTTAAACAATGAAAATACAGCCTATGGGCCTGGGGTTAGCTACCTCCTCTGATGTGCCTTTTTCTCCAGTTTCTTCAGCAAATGTGTGGGGGAATTTGAGAACATTTGGGGAAGTGTGCTGTACAAAACACTGGACTGGAAACCAGTGCCCCTGCAATCTCTCCTAAATACTGCCACTCACTTTGTTTCTCTGGTCTCACTCATTCTAGTCATAAATGGAGCAATAGGAATCTGTAAGTTCACATGTGTTTGCAATCTTCTTGAATGCATTTACCTACTTTAAGCGGGATTTCATTATAAGTCACAGAGAATAACCTTGACAGTTAGATTGATTTAAATGCAACATAAATACCTGCTTGAACTGTATTTCAAAGTTTCTACAAAATCAAAGCATGAAACAAATATAGTAGTTTGCATGTATGTTATATGTTATCTTTTTTTATTCTTATTCTTAGGGAAAAAAACGCTAAGAGCCAGTTGTCATTGGAAAGAAAGTACCAATGTAATTCATACTGAAAAGAAATCTAAATGACCAAAATGTTAATGCAATATTGATCTTTCTAGGCATTTTTACAATTGGCTATAGAAGAAAAGTTACCAATGATAGCAGCAAGGTATTCATAATACATACTGGTGAATATAGGAACCCAGTGTTCTTCAAGTCAAGAATAATTTAAATGCAATTGATTTTTTTTTTTTTTTTTGGTTTGGGATTTGAGGACATAAGTTGTCCACTCTCAATTCTTTGATACAGGAATAAAGAAAATTGACTTGAAATTTCCATTCACAGATAACATAAAAAACAATAACAAAATAATAATTTTTGCAGTTTTCCTCCTTCAGTCTGTATACATAAAATATTTTCTAAAATATTACTTGTAATCGCAGCATATAATTTTATCATATGCTTCTACTATAATTTGTATGTTTTATATCTTATTATGGTTTTCTAGAATACAATTCCATGCTATTCTAGAAAACATTTGGAGACTCTTATAGAGAAATACTCACTCACATCCAGGGTTGTTTTCTTAAAATAAATTTGAAGGTAACAAAATAAGTTCATAAATTAAAAAACGTTATGTCCTTTGAGAGTAGAACCTCTTCGCATTCTATCAATGGAAAGACTTGCCTTTTTAAATGAAGCATTTGATAAGCCATTAAGGTTAAAATCTTTAGGAAGACATGCTTTTCCAAGGAGGTTCAAGCTTCAATTTTCTTACAGACATTGAATCACTGCAGCACTGCCATAGGTAATGCTGGGATTGACAATGGACTTATGAGAAAGTAAAATGAAATTCTTGATCCTGGAAAATTTTGGAAAACTTTAGGGGTGGGAGCAGAAGGGAAGGGAACTATTCAATTGGATGACTTTTATTAAGTGGCTGCTTTGTAAAGCCCTCCTTTTTTTAATGAAATGCGTAGTGAACTTGAGATTCCTCATGAGTCTGATAGAATTAAATTTGCTTTTGGTGGTTGGGAAGTTGAAAGTCTTTCTTCTGGGTAGGTGCAGATTGAACAATGGCTCCCGTGAACATCTGACAATGTCCTATTACACCTGTTATTGAAATTAGGTCTCAAATCTGTCTCCTCTGCTAAATTTCATAGTTCAATATTTTAATTCAACCACATTTTATTACTTGCCTGGATTATTCTCTCTCCCTCTCTCTCTCTCTCTCTCTCTCTCTCCGTCTCCTGTTCTCCCAATTTAGAAGTTAATACATATTTCTAAATATTTCTTAGCAGTAATTGCCTTTGGAGAAGGAATTCCATTTATGTTCCTACAAAAATTTTATAAAATTATATCCCTGCACCTATTCTCACAATGGAAAATTTCATTTTAAAGATTTTAAAGGGAAATATGATAATCCCTATTCTTATCCTCAAATCTCTGGATGTACTAAAAAAATTCAGTTTGCTTTACACGTTTATTAACTGTTTGCATTAATTCATTTGTCTTTTGTGAATTATTTGTTTTATGTCTATTTTGCTATTGGGATGTTTACCTTGTTTTCATTTATTTAAAAGAGATTTATACACATGAAATGTGTTGTTTAATTTTTGTATTTTATACATATTTATACACAAATATATCTTTACAAATATTTTAAAATTTTTATCAACTTTTCCCATGTACTTTCTGATTTTGATATTGTGTTAGTCCATTCTCACACTGCTAATAAAGACATACCTGAGACTGGGTATTTTATAAAGAAAAAGAGATTTAATGAGCTCATAGTTCCACACAGCTAGGGAGGACTCACAATCATGATGGAAGACAAAGGATGAGCAAAGGGACTTCTTACATGGCAGCAGGCAAAGGAGAGAGGACTTGTGCAGAGGAACCTCTCTCTATAAATCCATCAGATCTCATGAGACTTATTCATTATCATGAGAATAGCATGAGAAAGACCCACCCCTCTGATCCAATTACCTCCCACCAGGTCCCTCCCATGACATGTGGGAATTGGGGAAGCTACAATTCAAGATGAGATTTGGGTGGGGACAGAGCCAAACTATATCAGGTATCTTATTCAAAAATCCCTTTTGTACAAAAATTACATAAATATTTATGCATTATTTCAAATAATGTTAGCTTTCATTTTAGTCTTAAAATATTTACCTCATATTGATACTCTTATGTATATTATGTGAAATAATAATCTACCATTATACTTCTTTCAAATAGTTGGCCAATTTCACAGAACAGTTTATTGAATTGGTCCCTCTTTAATGGTTTAAAGTCGTAAAATACCTTTGTTTGTGTTGCATACTTTATTTAATCTGCCATGAGTCTGTTTCTCTCTCCCTCTGCCAATGCTACACTACTTTACATATAATAGCCATATTTTAAGTTTCAAATTCTGGATGGCAAACTCCTACTGAATTGTATATTTCATTGATTATACTTGTAGATTGATTTTAGAATATTTCAAAATTGCTTTTATTATAATATTTTAATGTCAGAGATTGTATTAGTTCATTTTCACACTGCTGATAAAGACATACCTGAGACTGGGCAATTTACAAAAGAGAGAGGTTTAATGGCCTTACAGTTCCATGTGTCTGGGGAGGCCTTACAATCACGAAAAAAGGCGAAAGGCACATCTCATATGGCGGCAGACAAGAGAAGAAGAGCTTGTGCAGGGAAACTTCCATATTTAAAGACATCACATTTTGTGAGACTTATTCACTATCACAAGAACAGCATGGGAAATGCCCTCCCTTATGATTCAATTACCTCCCACTGGCTTCCTCTCATGACATATCGGAATTGTGGGAGTTACAATTCAAGATGAGATTTGGGTGGGGACACAGCCAAACCACATCATTCTACCCTGGCCCCTCCCAAATCTCATGTCCTCACATTTGAAAACCAATCATGCCTTCCCAACAATCCCCCAAAGTCTTAACCCATTTCAGCATTAACTCAAAAGTCCACAGTCCAAAGTCTCATCTGAGACAAGGCAAGCCCCTTCCGCATATGAACCTGTAAAATCAAAAGCAAGTTAGTTACTTCCTAGATACAATGGGGGTACAGGTATTGGGTAAATACAGCCATTCCAAATGGGAGAAATTGGTCAAAACAAAGGGGCTACAGGGCCTATGCAAGTCCAAAATCCAGCAGGGAAGTCAAATCTTAAAGCTCCAAAATGATCTCCTTTGACTCCATGTCTCACATCCAGGTCACGCTGAAGCAAGAGGTGGGTTCCCATGGTCTTGGGCAGCTCCACTTCTGTGGCTTTGTGGAGTATACACCCCTCCTGGCTGCTTTCATGGGCTGGCATTGAGTGTCTGTGGCTTTTCCAGGGACACAGTGCCAGCTGTTGGTGGATCTAGCATTCTGAGGTCTGGAGAACTGTGGCACTCCTCTCACAGCTCCACTAGGTGATGTCCCAGTAGGGACTCCGAGTGAAAGCTCTGATACGCATTTTCCATCTGCACTGCCCTAGCAGAGGTTCTTTATGAGGGCCCCCCGGTGCCCCTACAGCAAACTTTTGCCTGGGCATCCAGGCGTTTCCACACATCCTCTGAAATCTAGAAGGAGGTTCCCAAATCTCAGTTATTTACTCCTGTGCACATGCAGGCTTAACACCACTGCTAAGGCTTGGGGCTTCCACCCTCTGAAGCAACAGCCCGAGCTGTATCTTGGATGCTTGTAGTCATGGCTGGAGCGGCAGGGACACAGGGTACCAAGTCCCTAGACTGCACACAGCAGAGGGACCCTGGGCCTGGCCTGCAAAACCATTTTTTCCTCCCAAACTTACATTTTCCCCATTGTCTTGGTGATTAACATTTGGTTCCTCGTTACTTATGCAAATTTCTGCAGCTGGCTTGAATTTCTCCTCAGAAAATGGGATTTTTCTTTTCTATTGAATTGTCAGACTGCAAATTTTCCAAACTTTTACACTGTTTCCCTTTTAAAACTGAACACCTTGAACAGCACCCAAATCACCTCTAGAATGCTTTGCTGCTTATAAATTTCTTCCGCTGGGTACCCTCTCTTTGCCTGCTGCCATCCACATAAGATGTGACTTGCTCCTCCTTGCCTTCTGCCAGATACCTTAAATCATCTCTCTCAAGTTCAAAGTTCCAGAAATCTCTAGGGCAGGAGCAAAATGCTGCCAGTCTCTTTACTAAAACATAATGATAGTCATCTTTGCTCCAGTTCCCAACAAGTTCCTCATTTCTATCAGAGACCACCTCAGCCTGGACTTTATTGTTCATATCATTATAAGCATTTTGGGCAAAGCCATTCAACAAGTCTCTAGGAATTTCCAAATTTTCCCACATTTACTCTTCTTCTTCTGAGCCTTCCAAATTGCTCCAATCTCTGCCTGTTACCCAGTTCCAAAGTTGCTTCCACATTTTTGGGTATCTTCAGCATCGCCCCACTCTACTGGTAACAATTTACTATATTAGTCTGTTTTCATGCTGCCAGTAAAGACATACCCAAAAGAAAGAGATTTAACAGACTTACAGTTCCACATAGCTGTGGAAGCCTTGCAATAATGACAAGTGAAAGGCACATCTCGCATGGCAGCAGTCAAGAGAAGAAGACCTTGTGCAGGGAAAATCCTGTTTTTAAAACCATCACATCTTGTGAGACTTATTCACTCTCATGAGAACAGCTTGGAAAAGACCCGCCTCCATGATTCAATTACCTCCCACTGGGCTCCTCCCATGACATGTGGGAATTGTGGGAGTTATAATTCAAGATGAGATTTGGGTAGGGACACAGAAAAACCTTATCAGAGATAGTTCACATTTTCCCCAAATTATTTTAAATTTCTCTATTTTCTATAAGAAATTTTAAAGCTTTATATTAAATGCTTTTCTGATTTCTGATCTGAAAACAGCCTTTAAGCAGAGGTATTGTTTTCTATCCAACTTCCAGAATGAGCTTCCTAAAGCACAGATACTATCATGGACTTTCCCAGCTTAAAACATCTTCCTTGAGTCTCCACTGAAGATACGGTATAATTTGGTCTTCAGACCATGATATTCAGTCCTTTGTTTCTTCTCCATCTTGATCTCCCAGTAGTTAATTTATTAGAATAGGTTCAAACACAAGAGTGCCTATAAAGCACATATTTTTAGCTTCTGTGCACCAGTACCTTTAAATAATGAGGGATGCATGGTCCTCTTGTGCTGAGCTCTACTCTGAGAGGTGGTGGAAGACCACGGTTTTTAATTTGATTTGTACCTCATTGCAATGCCTTCTCATTGCATAGCATGTCTGCCAAAGTAAAGCTTAAGTCCAATGCACTTTGGTGGGCTGCTTAAAATGATGGCTTAATATTTATATAGCAGTAGAGAGAATATGTCACTGTATCACCTAGAATAGTTATTCCTTTTTTCTTTCTTTTTTTTCTATTTATGCAAAGCTAAAGCAAGTAGGCTGTCATTGCCTGAGAGAAGAGTACAGTAATTTCTGTTGTATTTTGAGAGGCCCTCTTATTCCTTGGAAGGAGAAAGTCACTGGAAATATTAATATACAATAATAGCACTTACTTTGACCCCATGGTTCCTAGAAGTTGCTATTTATATGAAAAAAAGAGGAAGAGGGGAGTTGCAAAGAGTTATAACGTTGGCATGCCATGTTACTTGGGACACATTTGGGCCATCTTAGTGCTGAGGGCATGCTATCATTGTCTCTTAAGAATTCATCATGGTCTGCACAGGGATCTGGGCCAGTAAATAGACAAGGATCATCTATCAGAGTGTGCAGGACCATCATTCAATTGTGACCCTGTGTAATAGCAAACAGTGTTGACAGTAATTAACTGAACAGAATTGGGTTTTCTCTATAACCTGCTATTAAAAGAGAATAGATTCCAATTTTGGACAGAGCAACTCTTAGGAGTTTGGGGACAGCTTGAAGGAGAGGAGTCTCAAAAGAAGGAAACTAGATTTCTTGCTAATAAATTAGGGGTTCATCTTATTAGATAAATCAAGAGTTGTGACTTTACCTCATGAATATATGAAACAATACATATTAGCAATAATTATATTAAAATGTATTTAATAAACATTTTTATTGAATCCCATTCAATATGTATGTCTATCAGTGTGCATGCTTCTATTATGCTCTTTGATAGGTGAGGACATGGGAACTCAGAAAAGTCAGTGATCATAAGAACAATGTAATTAGAGTACAGCCATGACTCAGTCAAAATAAAGCCAGGCTTCAGCTTTATTGTACTGTAACTCTCTACCTTAATTGTGTTCTTACTTTACTTTAAACTTCTTGTCGGGTACCAAAATTAATAGCCATTTATAATGCTCACAACTTATAACACACTACCTAGAATTTAATAATGGGAATTATTGTTATTATTTGTTCTGTTCTTCAGCCACCTTGCTTTTATATATTAATTGTTATAAAAGTACTATTTGATATATTTATTTTAGTATTACAAATTAAGAAACCATGAGTTCAAAATAACTCACGCTTACACAGCTGAATACAAACACAAATCCCATATCCATTCACCTATGCTATGTTCCTTCCCAAATATTAGATTAGTAAATATTTCTTGAACTTTTAAGATTAAAGGGATTATAGGAATGGGGAAACTCAAAAGACAGCAAAAAGAAACCTAATTTTTCAAGGAATATTTTTAAATTGCAGTTGATTTCCTTTTTAAAAAACCTTTGAATCTGAAGTCTCTGTTTTGTTATAATGAAGGTAAATATAAATGAAGAGAAACTTACAAATTGGTTATAAACATAACTTTTGCTAGTGACTAAAACTTGGAACACTAGGGGTGTGTGTGTGTGTGATTATCTGGTGGACAAACAAAATCAGAGAAGGTAAGTTACTTGTCAATAGTCACACAGCTTTTCAATGCTGAATGTTGTATTCAAACTCAAAAGTGACTGATGTCTAAACTAGTGTTCTTTAAGTTTTCCTCTTTGTGCTGTAATAACTTCAGAAAAAGTTTATGACTGTTGCAAATGTTCTTACTTGTCTCTCTCCCTTGCAAAGTAAAATTTCCCTGGCTTCAAAGTAGTCCAAAGAGAGAAAAGCAGAAATATTGCTATCATTGGACATCTGACTTCCCCACTACAAAGAGGTTTGTTGACAATGGATGTTTGATACTTGACATTTATCTGCCATAAAAAAGTCTCATTATTTATAAAGAATGAAGATCTGTTACTTGCCTGGAGGCTTAAGTGGTTAATATAGAGGTCATTATTTTATGGAAAAAGAAATGTTCTATTCAACCAGTTTATCAAATTTATATATCTAAAGGACACATTGTGTTGGCACCCAAGGGCAAAGTAAAATGATTCTGTAAAAGAGTAAAAATGCCACTGCAATTTTTAAAAGATAAATCAAGCAAATAGTTCTACTGCCTATTAAAATTTAGAACTGGTTTTAAATTGGAGGATAATTCAGAATATCTGAGAGAATATAGTAGTCAAGGGAGCATAACCCCTGTGCCCTTCTATTCCATTTATGGGTATCAGAGTCTCTCACAATCAGAAAGTCACTAGTTTAACAAAGAATTTGCAAGGAAACACCTGTGTACCTCAGCACTGAAAGTCAACACAAAACCTAAAATACTAATTCAGAAGTTGCAACCTCACAGACCAAGATGCCCCACAGATGTGTTTGATTGCTTACTTTGTGGATCTACTCCATGTTGTCATGTTCAACATTTTATAATTTTTTTGCTAATACTTGTTTAAAAATCAAAATTTTATTATTTAAATTCATATTGCTATTTATTTTTTCTACTTTTGCAAATTCTACCCCCAAGTCAGTCTGCCACTGGGGAGGAGGCTAAGAATAGCACAGTTTTGGGGCTTTTTTTAATTGTTTCCTTTTTCTTTCTTTTTTTTTTTTTCTGAGAAAAATTCTTTACTGTAAAGTTAGGCTGCATAGCATCTGTGATCCACAGATCCCTAAGATTTTGTAATTCTACTTCTGTTTTAGTTTTAAATGCCAGCAAAGAAGTAATTACAGTTGTAACCAAATCAGAGGTGTCATTTATTTTTTTTATTTTTTATTTTTTATTATTATTATACTTTAAGTTTTAGGGTACATGTGCACAATGTGCAGGTTAGTTACATATGTATACATGTGCCATGCTGGTGTGCTGCACCCACTAACTCTTTGTTTAAAAGCTGTTATTTTACCTTGTTTTGCTTTTTCACTCCCTTCTCCCACCCTCATTTTTAGGCAGCTGATTATTTCTATGCCAGAACTGAGAGGTGGGGAAGAAAGGGGCCAACACATTCTTATGTCAGCATTTATAATTTACATTAAAAACTTCTTAATTTGGCAAACATTCACTGATTCTTTCTAAGATGAATTATTATTTTTTGGTTCCTTAGCATTTCCCTAGACCATATGCTGGACCCCAACTGCAGTTCCCCAGATGGCAGCTTATTAAACCCACTTATAGACTCCCAGGCTCAGTCACCTTGGTTATTTGCATAGCACTCTTAGGCTGGATCCATTTCAAGGTGAGATGGATCCGGCTCACGCAAAACCCACCTACAGTGAAGCAAAGTCTACAGCGGAGCTTACTCTCAATCCCCTGCTTTTGTTCTACTACTACTTAGTTTGTTAGGTTCTCATTTTTAGTTTGTTTTTACTCACACGTTTGAGATACCATAACTTGCCTTCCAAATTCCAGTTCTGTGAGTTTTTCTTAGAAGGTTGTCACTTGGCCTAGAAGAGAGAAGAACGCTTCATTAACTTTCTCTAATAAAATGTTCTCTATAACTTCTATTTTTCACTAATGTAAATAATAGCAGCAAATACTTACTGAGTGCTTTTTCTACATTAGGATCGTTTTAATTACACTGCATAAAATCACTAATTTAATCCTTGCAATAACTAATAATAATAACTAATAATAATCCTTATGAACTAGGTATGGTCATTTTGCTCATTCCACAAATTTGAAAACTGAGTCTTAGAAAATCTGAGTAAATTAATGAATGCTACTGAAATAACAGTAGCAGAGAGGGTGATGGAATCTATAGCTACTTAAACTCAAGATTTTCACTCATAATCACTCTACTGCACTGTCTCGTCTCCCAGTATCAATTGACAGTCATCTTGTAATTCCAAGTGTTTTATATTTTAGAACATGTAACTTGTATGTGGTGAGAACCTACTTTCCTTGAAGACATTCTGCTAAAAGCATTATAGGTGTAGCTCATTTAATCACCATAAAATGAGATTAAGTATCATTACTATTATTTCCAATTTATAGCCAAAAACTAAGGCTCAGAGAGGTGCAACATCTTGACCATGTGAACAGTCATTAGGTGGTGAATCGAAGGGTTGGAGCCTGGCATTCTAACTGTACAAAGCTCCCCTTAATTACTCTAAACTGCCTTCTTCTAGAATGCTGAAAATTCATTAATTTAGGACAGCAGATACAACTAGTTCTTCTATCGTACCTAAGAAAATTTAAGAGTCTATTAAGATGCAGTGAATATATCAGTTTTATTTCAAGCTTTAGTTCAATTATATGAGAGTTGGTTATATAAGAAATGGAGATCTTTATTGGACTATGGAGGGCAAGGTGAAAAGTATATATCAGTGTATCATCTCCCTCTATATATATGTCTAAATGATTAAATGGTTTAATAAGTTTTATAATAATCATTATTGTAACACATGGCATTATCCTATATCATATGATAGAACGTTATGTTGGAATGTTTTATGTTATTGCAGCTAACTCTTCTAGAGCAACAGGACACCTTATTAGAGTGCAAATTAGAATTGCATTAATTGTTTTGTGAAAGCCTGCATCCTGCACAGTAACTAATATTAGGTAACTGAGACATACTCACTTTGCTTCCATAGTAACCTTGAAAAATACAGGTCTAATGCAGAATATGTCCTTGTGGCAGATGCTATTGGCTGCCTACTCAACAGCCATTTCCCTCCTTATTTCTTGACAACATAATCTGATATAAATCAGGCACTAATTTGAAAAATGTTCCATGAAAGTAAGAATAAATCATAATGGGTGTAAGTATGACATAGCAATCTTAGTCTCCTTTACTATTCTTTCTTACAGATAGGGGTGGCCTAATGACACAGTTTGGGTTCATATAATGAAGGTGGTATATTCTATGAGGATTTCTGGAGGAAATTTTTCAAGTTGGCAAGAAAAACACATATGTGGAAAATGACTACTTAAAACACCTCTTCTCCTTTTTCCCTGTTTTGAACATATTTGCTTGAGGAAGTGGTGTTTGTAGGTCATGCAGCATTCTTGGTATTTCTAGGCAATCAGCCTAAGCATGAGAGTCATACCTAAGCTTGGACTATTACTGTCATAAAAAGACCCCATTCTTTGATAGCATGGAGCCACTGCATGAAATTTGAATTCACTTGACTCCTTCCTTCTTAGTTTCTCTTTACTAAACATACATGAAGGCATTTATAAACTTAATCATTAAGAATGGTTTGGGACTCAAAAGGACATAAATGATAAATTTTCTATTGTAGCTCCACCTGATAGAGTAGACTAACATTCAACAAAGCATTTAATCTCTATGCCTCAGTTTCTTCATCTGAAAATAGATTGTCATTCCTGGCAAAGATTGTAGTAATTGTTATCTAAGATAATGGATATAAAGCAGCCGACACATAACATGTTTTAAAATCTATGACAGATTTTATTTCTCTTAAACAATAGCTCAAATACTTTTCAAAACAATTATTGGAACTCTTTTTCTCAATTAGATATTACATAGAGGGTGATTACATAAACAGATACGGTCAGAACTGTTTTGGTTCACAAGTAAATGGGGACTTTCTTTCCTCCCCACCAAATTCCTCAATGGGCCGTCAAGTTACTTCTACAGGGCTCAGTGCAATATTTAAAAAATAAAAAACTCTTTCTAAGTAGCATAAATGTTCATTGAACTGTAACATTATAATTTCTTAAACTTGTATGTCTTTTGGAGAATTAAAGATGCCTTAGATAGCGTAAAGCAACTTATGCTACCTAAAATTTACTCATCAGAAGAAAGGGGGATGCTTGGGAATTAGTCTTCTATTTTGACAAATTTTGATATTTAAGAGAACATGCAGTCATATGTCACATCGCACACACATGGAACACACACACAAAAATGCATACTCTTTTGATGTATTAAACTTTTGAAGATTAAGAAGACAGCCAAGTGACCGGGGTCAGTGTCTCATTCCTGTAATTGCAGCACTTCAGGAGGCAAAGGTGGGTGGATCATTTGAGATCAGAAGTTTGAGCCCACCCTGGCCAACATGGTGAAACCCTATCTCTATTAAAAATACAAAAAATTAGCCTGGTGTGAGGGCTCACACCTGTAATCCCAGGGTGGCTGAAGCAGGAGAATCACTTGAACCTGGGAGCTGAAGCTTGCACTGAGCCAAGATCGTGCAACTGCCCTCTAGCCTGGGTGACAGCAAGACTCTGTCTCAATTAAAAGAAGAAGAGGAAGAAGAGGAAGAAGGGGAAGAAGGGGAAGAAAGGGAAGAAGGGGAAGAAAAAGAAGGAGAAGGGGAAGAAGGGGAAGAAAAAGAAGGAGAAGGGGAAGAAGAAGAAGAAGAAGAGGAGGAGGAGGAGGAAGGTAGTCAAGTATGTGTAATTAAACAGATGAAAATAAATGTAATGATAATCTTGAATCATCTTGAAAAGACAAAGTTAGGCATAGATTATTAGTGTAACTATGTGCCAAAAGGTATATGCATATCCACTGCCTGCCTTATTGGCATACAAATAAGTTTTCATTCTACTTTAAGTTTTACTTTTTTGTTTTTACTTTTCAATTTTAGTTTCTATTTTGATTTTTGTGTATTTATTCTCAATTATTTTTGTCTATCACTCTCACTTCTCCCAACTGTCAGAGTATCTGGTAGTAGTCATTTATCTCTCTTGCTAATCTGGTGTCACTTTTATGTTGCTACTCAATATAATCACAACAGTTTTGATTGTCTATAAAATGTGCATAAATAGGTTCTGAGAGAGGCTGAGAAGTGAAGTAAAGTGCATCAGCAATCTTGGATCCTCAAAAGCCTATTTTTCTTACTTTCCTGGGTCTTGTAAATGTGTTTACCTAGAGTTGACCGAGGAGTTCATTCATATTCTTATGCTTTTTATATCAAACACTGTGACAGATTTTAAGACATCAGATACTTTCCTTATCAAATGTTATATTGCTGCTCTACACATTGAAGAAGCAAGCGTGCCCCCAAGTCCATCGCTACCCTGTAGGCAAGAGAGAAGTAGACAGCACTAAAGTCAGTTGCAAGGGAGCCACAGATTGGGAAATGGGAGACCTCAGCTCCTCAGTCCTTCCAGCCTCTCACTAATTAACCTCTTCCTAATTAGAAATGCCATTTTTAATTACCATCATTTTCCTCCTTAAATGTGCTGAAAGCTAACTCTGTAAGGCTCTGGGGTTCCGTTATGTTACAACAGCTGTAAATCACCTAAGTGATTAATATGGCCTCTTCTGATGCCCCTGGAGGCCCACTCTCCCTGGAGAGCAACCATGTCAAACACAGAGCTCAGCATCATGGGATGGAGCACATGTTTTTCAGGTTTCACTTAATAGAATGATCTAAAATGATGAGAGTCTTGCTCTGAATCTGGTATACCAGATGGTTACCAATGAAAGGCTGGGTCTCACCTAGCACAGACAGCAGCATAGATTTTCCTCAAACACTGTCTTGGAAGTAAAATCACCTTGCGGTGAAATGCTCACGACCCTCCTCCTACCCTTAAACACTTTTGTGCTGAGTGCAAACCTGCCTTTCTGGTACTAAATTGTGTTTCCTAGGGAGGGAACAGTGGTATAGCCTGCATGACATACCTCATGCCTACCTTTCCCAAATGATCTTGCATAATGTTTATTCCCCATCCCCTGCCACTTTTTTATGTCCTCCATCCACAATAGTTTCCTAAATTGATAATATCAAATTCCCTTCACCACCAAGACCTTTTGTCCACTCTGTTCTCTCAAGTGTAAAGCTCTACCTTCCTGTCTTAGCCTGATTACCTCCTGCCTAGCCTTACAATTCATGTTATGGACATCTTTCTTTATCTGCTCCACCATATAATTTGATGAATCACCTATTTATTGTGCTTTCATGTCTAGCCCTTTTATGTCATTTATCAGGGTTGGAACTTAATGTCTATGTATTAGGCTATTTAAATAATTTTTGTTTTCCCAGTTCAATCATTGGCTCTACAAAGACAGAGACTAGACAAGTTTTGGCCCACCATTTTGTTCCTACACACTGGTGCTGTGCTTGATGCATAGTCAAGCTTAATAAATACTGTTGAATGAATTAATAATTGGGATACTAGTTCAATTGCAGAAATTTCCCGACAGCAGCGTTAAAGGAGACAAAAAGCATTTTCAACTTGGCTCTCTACTAATCAGAGGCTATCTTTTTCATATAAATGTGTTCCAGAGATTTCATTATCTCTGTGATTGCTGAAGATGTCCATATGTGTTTGCATTGTTTTTCTTATTCTTTTCAAATCTCAGAGTTCACAAGATTTGGGAAATCGTTTTTTTTTCTCTAGGCTAGTAGGGGTAAGATGTCATGATTCCAGCATATGGGATGGTTTTATAGTTAAAGAGATTTAAACAAAAATCATCATTCTGTCATTGGAAATATTCTAGCCCTCAGGATCTCAGTTTTCTTATTTGTTGAAGGGGTAAGTTATATTTTAAAATTATTTATCTCATGAAAGAGAATATGGTAGAGAAGTAACTATAGGTCCAGCATTCAGTAAATTACCTGACACATAGTCACATAGTCAATAATTAGCAAATCACATTCCCTGGAGAGAAGGAAAGAAGAGTAAGATACAAACTAACAATCTGTATCAATCACTGGAGTAAAAAGAATAATGGCCTCCTTTTCCCTCATGTACACATCCTAACCTCTGGAACCTGTGAATATGTCATGTTACATAGAAAAGGTAAGTGAATTTGCTAATTGACGTATTTTGGATGTTTGTCTTCTGCAAATCTCACGTTGAAATGTGGTCCACAATGTTGGAGGTGGGGCCTTGGGGGAGTGTTTGGCTCATAGAGGCAAATCAGCTCCCTCAAAGATAGCTTGGTGACCCCCACATGGTAATGAGTGAGTTCTCATTCTATGAGTTCATGAAAGAGCTGATTGCTTAAAGGAACCTGGCACCCTGTCCCCACTTTTCCTTGTTCCCTCTTTCGCCATATGACATGCTCACTCCCCCTTTGCCTTCCACCATGATCGTAAGCTTCTTGAGACCCTCACTAGAAGCAGATACTAGCTAGCACTATGCTCCTTTTATAGTCTGCAGAACTATGAGCCCAAATAAACCTGTTTTCTTTATAACTTACCCAGTCTCCAGTATTCCTTTATAGCAATACAAAAAAGACTAATACATTAAAGATCTGACTTTAAAGGAGAAAGACTATCCTGGATCATCTGGGTTAGGCCCAATGTAATCAAAATTGGGTCTTTAAATGTTTTTTTAAAATGCGGAATTCGGAAGCAGAAAAGTAAGTGTCTGAGTGATACAATGTTGACAAACTCTCTGAGCCATTGTTGACTTTGAAGATGGAAGGAGGCTATGAACCAAGGGCTGAGGGCAGCCTCTAGAAACTGAGAAAGACAGGCAAAAGGATTTTTTTCCTAGAGGCTCTAGAAGGAACACTTCCCTGCTAACATCAAGGACAGCCTTGATTTTAGCCAAAGGCCTATTTCATACTTCTGAATTCCAGAACCTAAAATACTACATGTACATTGTTTTAGAACATGAAATTTGTGGTAACCTTCACATCAGCAACAGGAACATAATGTAATCATCCTCATTACCAACAGCAGCAACAACACTCTGTCTCACTCTCCCCTCATATAAACATATATGTGTGTGCTGGTTATAAGTGCATATTTATAATTACAAACACACTAATGGAAAGACATACATATCCAAATGAATAAGAGACAGTTAAATTATAAAGCAAAATGAAAAGTATTTTCTTTGGTGTTAGGGACAATCTTGATTCCGAGTGAATTTACTCTTCTCTTTGTACTAAGTTTTCTCAGTAAGCCAAATCCTACAACACTGTCATTAATCTGTTAATTGGGGCACTAATTTTATGGTGGTGTCACTTACTCATTATCAGTCTTATTTCCTTCACAGAAGGGGCTTCCTTTCACCTTCGAGGTGAGTCTCAGCTGCAGAAATGTGTCCTTCATAAGGGAGAGGTCACGGTCAGCAGAAGGGAGACTCCATTAGCTGGACACATCTGCTTTCCAGGTGTCAGTAAATTCTATACTTGGCTCTTAGGTGCAAAGGTATACGTGCCATCAGTGAATAAATAGACCGGAGAGAATTAAATAGAGTTGATACTGGCTGGATGTCAGTCTCATATTAGAAAAGATAAAAAAGTAGTAATAGAGGAGAGTTTACACTGCTCAACCTTATTGAATAAGTTCATTCTTTCCTTGGTTACCGGCAGATGGAGAATTTTTGACACAGTTCAAAGTTAGAAGGGCATAGTGACTGGAATACACTACATGATAGTTACGAAATAAAAATACTTTGAGTGTTTCATATAATAAAAGCTGAATTAAGAATAAAAAACACACTGGAAATAGTGAGCATATTCCACACCCGTTTTGTTCTTATATTTTCTCATACTCATGACTTTTTGTTTTAATATAAAATGATTAGAATCAGATGTTATGTCTTGGTTTATAAATGCGATTTGGTGTTTCTCTATATGATTAATGTATTACATTATTATGTGTTGCTAAATATACAATCTAAAATGTAGACTTTTATGTAGATATTAGTTTTAACCATAATATATTTTTTTATTTCCAGATTCTATTACAACTCCACTTCAATGTGGTCTCTATTTTTCCAATATAAAATTGCCTTGTCCAAAGCACATTGTAACAATCATTGCAAGGAAGAGAAAAAATAAAACCCTATTACCTCCTCAATTGACTTCATTTATCTTTTCTATATTTTCTTGTTTTATTTTAACATTTTCCCAAAATAGTTAACACAATTATAACCAAGGAACGGTTTCAATAATTTTATTTTCTAAGATTTTATTATGAAAAGATGTCAAAGAAAAGTTGAAAAAAATTTTACAGTGAACACACCTGAACCTACCACCTGAATTCTATTAATATTTTATTATACTTGTATTAGCACATCTATGCATCTTTCTACTATAGGTTCTAATATATAATTATTTTTCTCTTTTCACTTTGTAGTTTTTCCATGTAGCTTCAATTTCTTAACTATCATTTATAATGTTTGCCTAGTGCTGATTCTTTCTTGTAAGCAAAGTAAAATATTATTTTTAAATATTATCATAAATGATGTATTGAATTTAGAAATGATTATATTTATGAATAGAATTTACTTTCCAATTATATTTAATAAACATTCATTGAGAACCAATTATGAGCCAATCATTGTTAGATGTTATGGCTATGAAGATGAATAAAACACTTCTCTTTTTCATAAGGAGTTTGCTAATGCTAGGGGAGACTCCCATTTAATTTTATTTTGTGCAGTGTAATAGGATAATTAAAATAAAGTATGTACAAGGTTCAGATATAGTGCAGAAAGGGAAATTATCAACCTTCTCTGGCCTGACCAGAGAAGACTTCACAGAAAATTTAACATCTTCATTTAAATTTGGAGAATGCAGCGGCAAAGAAGTTTGGTTACCTATCCAAATAACTATCCACAATCTCCATTCTACCTCACCTTCTTTCTTGTTTGAAGTACGATAGGTTCAAAGTGTTCAGAAGAGACAGTTCTAGCTCCAGCCCCAGTTCCAGCTGGTAAATTAGATTTTCTCTAAGTCAATCAGGGTGGGGTCATTTCCTTGATCAATGATAGATTTAGGTCTGGGCATGTAACATGATTCTGGATAATAAGACATAATGGAGAGGTTGCTGAGGGACTTTTGTAAAAGGTTTTTCTTACTCCTTTAGTGTAACAACAACAAAGTAATAATTCCTTATTCATAGCATATAGCACTTGCAACTAGGACTGCCATTTTGGGACCCTGAAAATATTTTTCTATCTTTAGTATATTCTCCGTAGGTATAGTGGAAAGGGGTATAAATCTGACTCCTTGAGAATATCCTTTGAATCAACCCATTTTAATCAACTCTGGATCCTGATTACCTCCAGACTTATTATTTATAAGAAATAAATCCCATTACTTTTAAATACTTTTAGAGTTGGGTTACAGTTGCATTGCATCTAAAAAACAAAAAACAGAACACAACTAGTTAAAACAAACACATCTGCTTAATGAATGAAGGACGGGTTGAGTGGTAGCCTGCAAGGCAAAAGGGCACATGACAAACAAAGACAACACAGAGCCCTATTTGTGGAAACACTAAATATCACCTAAAGCTCGGTTTCTAAAATAAAAAGAGGGGCAGAGATAAGGCTTGAGATAGCGAATGGTTGTGCTGGTGCATAGCAGGGTAAAACTTTTCAACATTTATGTGATCAAAGTAAAGTACATGTGGCTTGAGGCTTTTGAAATATCCTACTATCTTGAAAATGACGCAATTATTGCCCTCATGATTTTGCTTTAGCCTGAAAATTTCACTGTTATTATAGCTCTGGCACCAGATCATAAAATTTTAAATTAGTAACTCAGTAATTTCTTTTTCAAAGGAGAGTACTTTCTTGCCATATTAGACTTACAAAGTGTGCATAAACTCTACCTATATAATCCATCAGGGTGACACGATCACTGGGTACTATATTTCCCAAGAAAAAATGCTGCAGAATAATTGAGAGCAACATTCAATAATGCAAATATCATCAGAAAGAGGTAGGACGAGGTCATGAATCAAGCCCTTGGCCTTCTACTTATTTGTATTATCTTAATCAAGTTACTTAAACATTCCATATTTTAAAATAAGAAGTGAGTGCTAAAACACTTTCTTCTAAGAAATAAGTTGGGAAAAAAAGCCTCACACAGGTTAAGTGACATAATTGATTTGCCTACCTTTCATTACTTTCCATTTTTTTTCTCAATGAAAGTTATAAATTGACAAGATGGCAACCAAAAAAAGGCACATTGCTTTTGGAAAAAATCAAACAAACAAAAAGCCCCTGGGGTCCATGGGCTGACTATAACAAACAATGGATCTTACCTGGTTGAAGTAAGTGCTAATGTCCTTCAATGATAGTAAACATCTATGTGAATTCACATCTAATGTTAGTTTTGGAGACTCACTAGGTAGTTTGGCAACCACAGGTTTGAGAAAAAATAATGCATATCTGGCATTAACACAGACAGACAGATCCTGAGTTAGAACTCAGGATCTGATTTTTAGAAGCAAAATGACATAGTTTACTTAAATCCCTGCCTCAGTTTTGACATGTCTAAGACATGACACTATTGATGTTTAAATATGGATACATATGGCAAGCTCTTTGACCATGTAAGTGTTCAAACAGTGAGTCTGATCAGGCTTAATCTCCAAGTAGGCAGTCCAGACACTGAGATTCAATCCTCACCTCATTTTCCACCCAAACTGTATGCCTCATTGATGTCTGGGACTGAGTGAAGGGAGCAGGTTGAAGAAAATCAAAAGTACCAACCATTAATGGGCACATATTTTTCACAGTCCTCCAATGGCATTTTCCCCTTTAAAGAAGGTTGCTATTCCTATCCTGTTTCAGATGAAATTAAATGTAGAAAATTTGGGTGAATTAACTGTTGTTGGGGCTCAGGAAATGATACCCCAAAATAAAGGCCTCAGAAGCAAAAGTTTCTCTCTGAGCTTCCTCTGCCCTCCTGTCTCTGGTGCCTCATTCTCTCTAGAGGCTAGCCATATAAACTAGAATTCCTCTTCCTCACAGTGGGTCATAAAAACCAGAACCACTTTTACCCAAAGCAAGTCATAAAACCTAAAAATATTACTTTAATTCCCCCTCCCACTTTTCGTATAAAAACTGGCCATAAAGAAATTTTCTGACCTACTTTGTTTAAGTGTAGGTCATAAGACCTCCCCATCCAGACAGGGTCTTGCTTCATACCCGGAAGGAAGGAAGGCTTCACAGAGATGCCAAGATGAATCAAAACAGACAAGCTTTTCTGGGTTTTCCCACTCAGTCTATTAGCATTAGATCATACCCTTTCTGTCCAATCATATTTCTACATGGTTGTCCATACTATGTTGAACCAAGCATAAAAACCAACACTTTCCTCTGTATCCTTGGGTCTTCATTCTGAAGTCTCCCAAGTCATGTCAAACTATGACCAAATATATTTGTCTGCTTTCTCTCCCATTAATCTGCCTTTTGTCAGTGATTTTCAGCAAATCTTCAGAGGCCAAAGGGAAAACTACTTACATTATGGCAATACAATTAAGTAGTTACTGCAGAAAGAATCTTTGTTAAGAGGAAGACATGAGAGAGAAAGTAAGAGAGGCAATCCAAATACCTGACTGATGTGGAACAAGTTCCCTCATGAAACTGCTATGAAGACTCGAAATCTGCACCTAGCACATTCTCAGTGGGCTGGCTAGATTTTGAATGCACTGCCTATGCAAAGGAGAAAAATATATGCATAACTCAAGGCATCTTCTAAGCCCAGCTGCAAGAGGAAGCTACGGATGACAGTGTCTTCTCTCACCACAGGATAAAAGCCCTGTAGCCATGACTAATTGCACAGACAGTAGCTGGGATCTGCAGAGCACAGACATTCAGGGTAAAGTGAGTGGTTACATTCACAGAGAGTTACTTAGAACAGCAGACAGTTAAAGACAGTGGGACATTTTTTGTTCCAAGAATGGGAGGAATATTGGAGCAGTGGGAGACAGGAGGGAGGTCTGGTTTCCTTTTAGTGTCCTTCAATTAGTAGTAATATACAAACCAGCCCCCAGGAACCAGGACTGCCCTGGTGTGCTTTTCATTGGCAATAAACTTGAAATTTGAAAGCACTGAGAAGGGTAATACTCTCTGTCTCACTCTCGTTCTCTCTTTTTTCATCTCCCTCATCAATTACCTGTAAAAACTCTGTTTAAAAGCAACAGAAAGCAGCTTCTACCTCCCTTTCAAGTAGCTTTGCTAAATACCTCTCAGGATGAAATTGTCTTATCCGACAGGTAAATTGCTGTTCCTCTCAATCCTCAGAAAAATACACTCTCTCTACCTGACTTGACATATCAACCTGCTTTCAAGCATTTCAAACCATCTATGAACATAAGAAAAGTATGTTTGCATGTGTGTGTGTTTCAATTTCTCACTGCCCACATAACATTTCCCCAGGCATATCTTGGCATAAACCAAATAAGCAAAAGTTGCTATATTCCCTGTTAGATATAGGTAAACATCGGAATAACATCATCATTTTTATCTCATACTTTCTCATGGAATTAACAACATTGTCCTTCGGTACTGGTTTCTGTGTTTAGATTTGCTTGTATCCTTTTCTACTATGTCTTAGGCCATCTAAATCACCAAAAATGTTAATTACCTGTGGATATCTGTTTATTGCTATTAAGCGTTTTACATTTTTCCACAGGGGATTTGAGGTAGCTTTTGAATTATTTAGAAAAGGGAAATAATTCAACTCTAGGTGAATTATTGTCTCTCTAAAATATATAGAAAGTAGTTTATTATCTAAATATTTAAGAGTATTTGTAGTAAAGAAACTTTATTGAGTGCCTATAACATGCCAGATACATTGTAATAGTAGACAGTAATGCCTTGTAGTAATAGGGAACTTGGTACCAGTTATCAAGCTAAATATTATTTATCACATTGAGGACTCATAACAAATATTTGAGCTGAATATATTTACTCCAGTTTGGAAAGAAAAATAATCCTCAAAACAGACATTTGATATAAGCATGTTATATCTATTTTGCAAATAGGCAAACTTATTTGCCCTGGTTCAATTAAATGTAAAACAAAATCTGAACCCAGGCTTTATGAACCAGAGCCTGTGCTCCATAATAACACACTATACTGCCTAATAGGGTGCCCATGCCAGACATTGGCAAAACAGTTTGAGAAAACATTTTAGGCATTCACAATGCTCATGAGGACCTTAAAAGATATAGAAAGAGTGAATGAGGCTAAGTTTCTAAACTGAAGATATCCACAGGTAAATGAGACACATATGCTTCTCAACACTTATTCAAATAAGCAAAGGTGTGACTGAAATAAGTAATATTCGTGGAGGATTGGGTGTCACAGATATAGAACTTCGATTCTTCTGTTTTAGTTTTCCTTAAAGTGTGCTTTGTGGAGTACTGGGTCCAATAGGAGATTGTGTCTTGTCAGGTTCCCCACAAGCAGATCCTGAGACTGGGATTTTCAAGAAGTGATTTCCTGGGGTAATGATCTCAGAACAACTCTGTATGGATAAGGGAGTGAGGGAAACAGGAGAGGTCGGGGGCAAAGCGAAGGAAGGGCATGGTTTTTCTGACATCTAGCCTCTCAAACTGATCTCAAAGGAAGCCCTGGACTGTGAAGGGCACCACAAAGTGTGAACAACTTTAGGCCCAAAAGTTGTAGTTTTGCATCTGCACCCTCTGTAACAGTCAGTCATTGGCAAATGATTAACAATCAACTAACAACAGCAAAAAATCCTGACTTGCAGAGTTTGCCAATTTTCATGGTACAAATACTCCCATGTGATCAATGTCAAGTCACCATTTGATATCACTAGATCCTGAATTGGGAAGAGCACTTTTGGCTCTCCTGAGCTGGTGTGAGCTGAATCCAGCACACTACTGGCTGTAACCTCCTAGACATTTCTGAGAGGAGCCTTCTACAAGTGTGAATCTTTGTAGTAAACACTCCCAGAAGCTAGGGGTTGGAGACACCAGCTGCACAGAGTGTCAAGGAGGGCATCAGCAGTGTCTTCAAGAGGCATTCATAGTTGTTGGTTGCTAACTGGCTTGGTGGACAAATAAGTCTATGTAACATTAAGCTGAATGAAGATAAATTTATTTCTTTAGTGAAGAACACATTAGGTCCTTTAATATACTACAGTTTAATGTGTCCTTTCAGGATAATGAACGGTTTTATAGGGTTTTCAAATTTAAGTTTATTTGACATTTTTTGGTCCAGATTATCTAATATGTCTAGTATTTTATGTAGAAAACAGACACACACACACACACACACGCACACACACACATTCTTAAAAGAGTGATTATTCCTTGTACCACCTGCTTCAGAATCACCTAGGTTGTTATTCAACCTGCAGATTTCTAGGTCATACCCGCAAAATATTGAATCAAATCACTGATGCTTTGGCCTGGGGATCTGTCAGTGTAACAAGCACTTTGGGTAACTATGATATGCCCAGAAGTTGGAGAACCTGGGTGCTGGCTGACATGCTTTTAATCTTATATACACTAGTTCATCAGAAACTGCATACCTTCTGTTGAATGACTTTCACTGAATGGAGATTTGGTGATATGCAACCCACTTTCAGCAGTGACATGAATCCGCTCTAGAAAATCTGCTTTGGAATTTACTGGAGAGTTGTTGCCAAACACACCAACTTCACATCCCTCTGCATGAGCCCTCAAGAAGTATTGCTTGAGAAAAAATTTTGAGAGCTAAGTGGCAGGAAGTTTGCTTTGAACAGGTTTTGTTACTTTACCAAGATCACGTAAGTACCAAAGGCAGACTTCAGAATTAAACCTAAGGTTTTTTATAGTACAAAATCCATTATTCTGATACCTTAACATATCTTTGAAATATCGTTATTTAACTTTTTAAAATAAATTGAGGGCCCATGATTTTTCACATTCAAAACCTCCTAGTAACCCAGAACCTCACTTTGAAAAAAAAAAAAGAACTACAGTAAACAGAGATAATAATAGACTTCAATGACGATTTTAATGAAAATATTTAAGAGAAGCTTTAAGGAACTACAATTATCTAGGGAGTACAATCAACACAGCCCACAAAATAGGACAAGACTTTCCTCTTTTGCCTCATTAGTAGTTTTCATTTGTTTGACCCATACCCTTAATTGCAACGAGTTAGTGCAAATGTAGGATGAAAAGTGGGGAAAATGTCAAGTTCTCTAAATTGTAATCTTTTGGGACGTAACAATTACCACAGATTTCATTTGGTTGTTTGAGCTAGTGATTATTATAATTTATGATAAAATATTCAGCAAATCACCTGATTGAGAGCGTGAGTAAAATACTGGATTTTTCACAAAACAATTTTTATTCAATCAGAAGAAATATCCATCTGAAAAAAACAAAACTCTTTAAAATGGGATGTTTTGAGTGAGGTCAAAGAGTGTAGCAATAATTTTCTGAGAAAGAGTATCTATTTTCAGTTGGGGACCTAGTTTTAAATGACTCTTTTAGCTCACTTTCAGGTGGAATGAGATTACATAATATATATCTATTTTGGCAGGTTTTGAAATTAATGAGACTGTCTCGGAAGGGAGATGATGGTTAAAAAGAGCATTAATGTTCACAAAAACCTGCCATTTTCTTTTTTTTTTAAAGGAAAAGAAATGCTTAATAGGAAATGTCAACCAATGGATTACTGCTTGGAAAGCATCCCACTGCACTGTCACATTGCACTGTCTAGTGGACACTAGAATTGAGATGACCCCCAGTGAGTCACAGACTTGTGTTATCTTCTCCCCTTGAGTGTGGCTGGAACTGACTTGTTTCAAACCAATATAATATGGCAAAGGTGGAGGGATTTTACAAGTGTAATTAAGGCTGAAAGTCAGTTGATTTTGAGTTCATCAAAAGCTAGGTAATTCTGGGTGGGCCTGACTTAAGTGAAAGCCTTAAGAGGGATTATCCCAAATCAGCAAATATGTTGTAAGAGGTATGTGGCCAGACCAGGCGGCAGGGAACTGCAAAAGTTTCTAGGAAATGAGAATAATCCCACTGACAGTAAGAGAATGGTGACCTCAGTTCTACAAATGTGACAAAAGAAACAGAACACTACCAACAACCAAGGTGAGCTTCAAACATTTCGATTACAGCCTTGGGAGAGCTTTTACAGAGAAGTTGTATAAAAGCTGGGCAATGTTCAGACTCATGAACCACAAAAACACTAATACATTTTTGTTATTTTAAGCCACTGAGTTTTAAGTAAATTACTGTGAATCAATAGATAACTAACGCACACTACTTGAAACCATTAATGCATGCTCTTCAAGAGAAAAAGTCACAAAAGAAGATCTTCCTATGGAACATGAGACCTGTTAGTCCTCCATAACCTTGTTCTCTGTTGTTCCCAAAGATGTGCTTTTTGCTCTTACCAACTGAGCTATTTATAGTTTGTATTTATTGCTCTTTTACAACTCAGAATTTATACATGTGACACTCTTTTTCAGGAATGTCCTTTTCCATTGTGTTAAACCTTCATAACTCAGCTTTAGCAGATATCTATTCTTTTGGCCTAAATAGTACTTATTCATTCTGATTTTTTTTAATGTACTTCTGTTCCCCAGTTCTGAGTTCTTATGGTTGGCAAAGAACAAACTCCACTTTGGGTTCAAAGGAAAATAAAGCAATTCAGTTTTCCAATATTGTTGGACATGTTCTTAAATAAACATGAGGGCTATGAGATCGTGGGGCAATGGAAATTATTGTGATGTTCACGAAAATACATCCATCAGGAAAGTGGTTACAGAATGAATCATCACATCTCCTTGGCTACAAGGATTGGGTTAGATATGGGCATATAGTTATATTAGCATCAATACTCCTCAAATCAAGCACTTTGGAGAACTATTCAGAAGAAAGGGTTCCTGATTTTTCCGTAACTGTAGGAAGTTCAGATACAAACATAGGGCTCTTTGGTATCACCCCTTGTAATGTGACCAAAAAGAAAAAAAAAAGCATAACAGGAGAAGATAGAAATAATGACTGCATGGAGAAGTGGACTTCTCTGAAATATCATATGGGCATATACATAAGTCATGCCTGAATCTGCTCTTGGATAATCAGTCATCTTTAATTTTAACTGTGCAATGTAAACCAAAGTTGATTATCCATACCACTAAAGTTAATTTGTTACATAAGTATTTACTTAGCAAATGTTATTTGCAAGACTGTATTAGATGTATTGTGAGGGCCATTCAGTTAAGTTAGAAGTGTCACTGCTTTTGTGGCATTATAAAGGGAGCACATAATTTTGAAAAAACTAAAAGTGATTAATGCAAAATATCACGACAGAAAAGTAAAGAAGAGCTGAAAAATGACTGGAAATTAAAATATTTGAGAAGAAGATAACATTTAATCTAGGGATTAAAAAGATGGGAAGGATTTTAACATACGAAAATGCGTAAGGAAATTGACTCCCTGTTTAGGCAATGTTGTTAATAAACAAGAGGGCTATGAGATAGTGGGGCAATGGCAATTATTGTGATGTTTATGAGCATATATCCATCAGGAAAGTGGTTACAGAATGAAAACAGAAAGGCCATTTGGAACTCCATAAGGGCTTACTGTCACATACAAGAGATTTAGATATAATGCAGTAAGATGAAACATTTATAGTATTTTAGGTGGAAAGTTTAGCCTCAGATGTGCTCTAGGACAATGACTCTTTAACTTTAATGGCTATTGGAACAACCAGATATACCTATTAAACATGCAGATTTTCCGATCCACCTAAATATTCAGATTTATTAAATCTGAGGTCGATCCTATAAATATGCATTACTAACATGTACTCAAAGAAGAATGAACATCAGTAAACCATTTATGTCCCAAATCAAAAAAAAAAAACTGACAGAATGAATGAAAATGCTATTTATAATGACTTTGTGACAATAGACATACTCTGGGACTATTTTCAGTTAATCAAAATGTGTCCTATCCTGGTTAAAATTCCTCCAAATGCAGAGCCTAAGACAAAAACTTGGGGCCAGCTAGTTTGTTGGGAGGGAGAACAGTGATACAGAAGATGAAGAAAAGGATGGAGAGAGAGTGTTGAGCTGATTCACACTGAGGACAGATTAATCATACCAGGAACCTTTAACTATGTTGCTTTAGGAAAATTATACTGATGGATGTTTGCTAGAATTTGTATGTGGTGACATTTTAGAGAGTATTATGAATTGCAATGTTTCTAACCAGAGATGATGAAGAAATCATTAACTTATTAATAAGAAAATCTGAAATTGAGAAGTTGATTGTTCAGGGAAGGATAAGTTTCATATTTGAATGAAATGAATTAGAAGTAGCAATAAGTGTAAAGATGCAAGTCCAGAAGAAGCAATAAGGGTGGGGATGTAAAATTTGAAGACTTTTACATAAGCATGGTAGATGAAGCCCCAGGAACTAATTAAATGACTCTGGAAGAAATAGGAAAAGAATCTGGAAAAAGGAAACCATCTGTGAGGAAAAAGAGACATGAGGACAAATCTGTCATTCTAACTTTCTAGGGGCAGGGAAGGGATATCTCTAGAATTCTTGTTTGCTTTAGATGTCTGACCAACCAGGAAGACAGAATCACCAACTACTAATTAAAAGTACTGACAGCAGGAAGTGTCTTGCTTTTTAGGTGAGGCAGGAACCTTAATTTGTGAGCAACATAAGAAAGCAGCCTCAAGACTGGGTTTTCAACGTTTTTGCTTCTCTTAGTTAATTGTAACTTCTTGGAAAGGTTTTCCACTAACAGGGAGAGACCATGCTGGTGAAACTCAAGCTGCACATAAAAGTACGTATAGGTCAATCATCCTACAATCTCAATCATGGGTCATGGCATAGAGGCCACTTGCCCATGGAAAGGTGGTGGAGGCCTTGTCTTTTGTGAAAGTATCTGCAGAGGCCACATTGACAAAGGCCACTACACAAATACTGCAGGTGGTGGTTGAAATAACTACTCATAATATTTGGATCTATGCCTTTCCAAATGTTTTCTATGTATTTATAAATGTATATAATTTAAAAACTGGCCTAGCCTACTTTTGTCCCCATCTCCCATACTTTACCTTATATCATAAACCTGTTTTTATATTTTTGAATATAAATATACTCTATTAGTCTGTTCTCACGCTGCTAATAAACACATACCCAAGACTGGGTAATTTAAAAAGGAAAGAGGCTTAATGGTCTCACAGTTACACATGTCTGAGAAGGCTCACAATCATGGCAGAAGGCAAAGGAGGAGCAAAGGCATATCTTACATGGTAGCAGTCAACAGCTCGTGTGCAGGGGAGCTACCCTTTATAAAACCATCAGATCTCATGAGACTTATTACTATCATGAGAACAGTATGGGAAAATCCACTCCTGTGATTTAATTACCTCCCACTGGGTCCCTCCCTCCATATGTGAGGATTATGGGAGCTAAAATTCAAGATGAGATTTGGGTGGGAATACAGCCAAACGATATCAATACCAATTTTTGAAAACTGTATAAAGTTGTACTCTCTGGATGTATGAAAATGTGTTTAGAATCCTGCTGTTACACTGGACACTTTTATTGTTTGAAATTATTTTGGACTACTAATTTTTATAATTTAAGAAGAATAAAGCAATGATAAGAAGATGTTTAGTTCTTTCCCATCATATTTACATTTTAGTTATTGTTGTTTTTAGGAAACAAGATTTTAGTTTGCCACAAAAGTAAATGTAGGTTTCAACCAGAAGAACAAAAAAGAATTTTTTTTGTTAGTATATATGTTGGTTTACTTTTTTTTAGAAAAATGTCTTTTTGCATTCTATATGTTTCTCTATATTAATGAGGCTCTCAGAGTTGAACAAAGGGGCTACTTACAAAAGTGTGAGTGAGATTTGTGAAATCTATAAGGATAGTGAAGTATCTTGGGTAACAGTGGAGTGCCAGTGGAGCACCTTTACAGCCCCTAGTCCTGAAAGGAGGAGGAGAGGGAATCAGCAAACAGAAAGCTGGGTGGATAGGTGGGGCTCCGGACCTGTAAATTTATGTTATTGGAACTCCTCCAACAGGCAGCTGTGAAGATTGGTGCCTTTGCCTCATGTTCCTTGTTCTCTCCAATCTGCTGCCAGTACTCTTTACCTGATTCCAATTGAAAGGCAGAGGGCAACGTGAATAGTTGTTTTAAGCCCATCTCCTGATCTCCTGGGGCGGGCTTGGGACAAGTGAAAAGGAAAGAGAAGGATAGGGTGAAGGAAATGGAAGAGAACATGCTTAGTTCCTTTAAGACAACGAGCAAATAAAGTACTATTAATATAAATACAATTATGGGGTTAAAACATTTTATCCCTTAGCAAATTGTATGGGATAATTGAGTTACCAATCCCTGCAAAGAATATTCACATAAGTTAGTCTTTTATTCATTCAACAAGTTCTTCTCTCAGACTCCACAAAGTTTTATTCTCTAATAGCATCAGTAGATAGTGTTCTAATTCATATTTCATTTTATTAAAAAAACTATGGAAGAATACTAATTTTATGGGGTATGTCCTGTTTCATTTACCTCTGTACTCTTACTTCTTCAATATCCCTCTATAGAGTTGATGCTTAGGAGGTGTGTGTTCACTTAAACATTGGTTCTCCAAAGTTTATATTTTAGACGATTTTTTTTAGGTTTAAAAAACAATAAAATAAACATCCATATGCACCTTATCTAGTTTCCCTAGATATTATTATCTTGCCACATTATCAGTAATTCTATATGTGTATAATTTTATTTTAATTAATTAACCAATTTTTTGGTTAAATTATTTAAAATTAAGTTGATCTCACCATAAAAATCCTAAATACTTTAGCATGCATCTCCTAAAATAAGGATAGTCTCATATACAGCATAATATCACTATCATACCTAAAAAATCAATAATAATTTCAGAGTATATCCTAATTAATAGCCTACATTTCACTTTCCACATCTGTCTCTAAAATATCTTTAGTACATTTTTAAAAATCTAGGATCCTACCAAGGATCACAAATTGCATTTTTACTTTTTTATTGATACATAATTGTATATATTTATGGGGTACATTTGATATTTTGATACATGAAACAATGTGTAATGACAAAATCAGGGTAATTAGAATATTTATTACCTTGAACATTTATCATTTCTTTGTTTTGGGAACATTCCAAATCTTTTTTAGCTGTTTTAAAATACAAAGCAAAATACAATTATAGTCACTCTACTTTGCTATCAAACACTAGAATGTACTCCTTCAATGTGACTATGTCTTTGTACCTATAAACAACTTTTCTTCATCACCTCCACCCCTCTAGTCTTCCAAGACTTTGATAATCACCATTCTACTCTTTACCTCCATGAGATAAACCTTTTTTTTTTTTTAGCTCTCACATATGACCGAGAATATGCAATTTTTGTCTTCCTGTGTCTAGCTTATTTCACTTAACATAATGGCCTCTGGTTCCCTCCATGCTGCTACAAATGACAGAGTTTCATTCATTTTTATGGCTGAATAATATTTTCTTTTATATGTATACATAAAAGAAATTATATACACACAAACATGCACACACAAACACACATACATACATACATACCGTAGTTTCTTTATCCATTCATTCACTGATCAACACTTAGGATGATTTCATATCTTGGCTATTGGAAATAGTGTTGCAATAAAAATGGGAGTGCAGATGTCTCTTTGATGCACTGATTTCCCTTCTTTTGGACTGATACCCAGCAGTGGGATTCCTGAATTATATATTAGTTCTACTTTTAGTTTTCTGAGACATCACTATATTGTTTTCCCTAGTGGCTGTATTGTATTAATTTACATTTCCACCAACAGTTTGTTGGCATTTTCCTTTCTCCACATCCTCACCAGCATCTATTACTTTTTGTCTTTTTAATAATAGTCATTATAACTGGGGCAAGATAACAGCTCATTGTGGTTTTGATTTGCATTATACTGATGATTAATGATAATGAGCATTTTTAATATACCTGTTGGCCATTTTGATGTTTTCTTTTCAGAAATGTCAATTCAGATCTTTTGCCCTTTTTTTTTGGGCAATTCATGTTTTTGGGGGGTTATTCGTGGGGTGTTTTTTGCCACTATGTTGTTTGGTTTGAATTTCTTATATATTCAAGTTATTTATCCCTTGTCAGATGGATAGTTTGCAAATATTTCTCCCATTATATAGGTTGTCTCTTCACTCTGTTGTTTCTTTTTCTTTGTGGAAACTTTTTAACATTATATAATATTATATATAAGATTATATAAAATGTTATATATAACATTTATTTTGCTTTTGTTGCCTATTTTTGTATCTTACTCAAAAAATATTTGCCCAGACCAATACCCTGAAGTGTTCCCTCCATGTTTTTATCTAGTTGTTTCATAGTTTCAAGTCTTATATTTAAGTCTTTAATCCATTTTTGAGTTTTGTATATGGAGAGAGATAGGGGTGTAGTTTCTTTCTTCTGCATATGGACATTTCTGTGTTCTCTATTCTGTTCCACTGGCTTATGTGTTTAGTTTTATGCCAGTGCCATGCTGTTTTGACTAGTATAACTTTGTAGTATATCTTGAAGTCAGGTAATGGAATATCTTCAGCTTTGTTCTTTTTGCTCAGGATTGCTTTAGCTATTCAGATCTTTTGTGGTAACATACAGATTTTCAGATTTTTTTTCACATTTCTTTGAAGATTGTTATTAGTATTTTGACAGAGATTGCACTAAATTTGTAGATCACTTTGGGTAGTATAGACCTTTTATCAATATTGATTCTTTCAAACTATGAGCATGGAATATCTCTCTATATTCTGCGTTCTCTTTAATTTATTTAATCAGTGTTTTATAGTTTTAATTGTAGAAATCTTTTACTTCTTTGGTTAACTGTATTCTTTGGGTATATTTTTTGTAACTATTATATGTGGACTGCTTTCTTGATTTATTTGAAAAATAATTGGTTGATCACTGTTAGTGTAAAGAAACACTACTGAGTTTTGTACGTTGAGTTTGTATCCTGCAACTTTACTAAATTTATCAGTTCTAAGAGAATTTGGTGGAGTCTTTACGTTTTTCTAAATATATGATCTTGTTGTCTGCAACAAAGCTAATTTGACTTATTCCTCTACAATTTAGATAACTTTTTTATTTCTCTTGCCTAATTGCTCTAGCTAGGACTTCTAGTACTGTTGAATAGAAGTGGTGAAAGTGGGCATCCTTGTCTTGTTTCAGATACTGGAGAAAAAAGACTTCCCATTTTTTTCTCATTCAGTATGATGTTAGCTGTAAGTCTGTATCACATGACCTTTATTGTTTTGAAGTATGTTGCTTCTATACCCAGTTTGCTGAGGGTTTTTATCATGAAGGGATGTTAAATTTTGCAGTGTTGATTAAATGCTTTTTAAATCAATCAATGAATTTATTGAAAGCATTTTAATCAATGCTTTTTCAGCATTGATTTGTGTTTGCTGAACCATTCTTGCATCCCTGAGATGAAAACCACTTGATCATTGATACGGTTTGGCTGTGTCCCACCCAACTCTCATATTGAATTGTAGTTCCCATAATCCCCAAGTATCATGGAAGGGACCAGGTGAAGATAATTGAATCATGGGGGATTTTCCCCCATCCTGCTCTCATGATAGTGAATTAGTTCTCACAGGATCTGAATTTGTAAAGGCTTTTCCCCCTTTGCTCGGCTCTCATTCTCTTTCTTGCCACACTGTGAAGAGATGCCTTCTGCCATGATTGTAAATTTCCTGAGGCCTCCCCAGTCATGCAGAACTGTAATTCAATTAAAACTTTTTCCTTTATAAATTGTGCAGTCTCGGATATTTCTTCACAGCAGCATGAGAACGGACTAACACAATCATGATGAATTATATTTTAAATTTATTGTCGAATTTAATTTGTTAGTATTTTGTTGAGAATTTTTGCATCTATGCTCATCAGATATGTTGGCCTTTAGTTTTCCTTTGTGGTTGTATCCTTGTCTAGTTTGGGTATAAGGGTAATGCTGACCTTGTAAAACAAGTTTTGAAATATTCTCCCCTTTTCGAGTTTTTGGATTAGTTTAATTAGAATATGTATTGGTGCTTCTTTAAATATTTGGTAGATTTCAGCAGTGAAGCCATCAGGTCCTGGGCCTTTCTTTGATGAGGGACTTTGTACTACTGCTTCAATCTCATTACACGTTATTGGTCTGTTCAGGTTTTCTATCTCTTCATGGTTCAATCTTGGTAGGCTGTATGTGTCCAGGAATTTTCCCATTTCTTCTAGGTTTTCCAAATTGTTGGGATACAGTTGTTCATAACATACTTTAATGATACTTTGTATTTATGTGGTAACAATTTTAATGTCTTCTTTTTAATCTCTAATATTATTTATTTGGGTCTTACCTCTCTTTTTCTTAGTCTAACTAAAGGTTTATTGATCTGTTTATCTCTTCAGAAAACCAATCTTTGGTTTTATTAATGTTTTGTCCATTTTTTGTTTTGATTTTGCTTATTTCTACTCTGATCTTTCTTAGTTCTTTTTTTCTATTAATTCCAAGTTCGGTTTGTTCTTGCTTTTCTGATTCCTTTAGGGACATAATTAGGTTGTCTATTTGAAGTATTTCCACTTTTTCAATGTAGGCATTTATTGTTATAAGCCGTCCTTTTAGAATTGCTTTTGCTGTATTCCTTAGATTTTGGTTTGGTATGTTGTATTCATTTTTTTGTCATTTTTAATTTCCTTTTTGATTTCTTCATTGCTCTGTTTGTTGTTCAGGAGCATGCTGTTTAATTTTTATGAATTTGTGCAGTTTCCAAAGATCTTTCTGTTGCTGATTTCTAGTTTTAATTCATTGTCATCAGAAAGATACTTGATATGATTTTGATTTTTAAAAAATGTGTTAAGACTTGTTTTGTAACCTAACACGTGGTCTATTCTGGAGACTGCTCCATATGCTGTTGAGAAAAATTTGTATTCTTTATCTGTTCAATAGAATGTTCTGCAAATGTCCATTAGTTTCATTCAGTTTAGATGAAGTTTAACTCTGATTTTTTTGTTATTGCTGATTTTCTCTCTGGATGATCTGTCCATTGCTGAAAGTAAGACGTTGAAATTTATTATTATTATTATTGTATTACAGTCAATTTCTCCCTTAGGTCTTTCAAGATTTGTTTTATATGTTTGGGTGCTCCAGCATTGAGTTCATATATACTTACAATTGTTAAAACCTCTTGCTGTATTGACTCCTTTATCATTATATAACAGCGTTCTCTTTCTTTACTATTATTAAAGTCTATTTTTATAAAATATAAGTATAGCTACTCCTGTTCTTTTGGTTTTCATTTAAAGAGAGTATCTTTTTCTATTCTTCCCTTTCAATATGTGTGTGCCTTTATGAGGAAAGTGAATTTTTTTGTACACGGCATATAGCTCAGTCTTTTAAAAAATCCGTTTAACCACTATATGTTTTTTAATTAGAAAATTTAATTCATCTACATTCAAGGCTATTATTGACAGATAAGGGTTTACTACTGCCATTGTACTACTTGTTTTTTGGTTGTTTGGAAACCTTTATGTCTTTTTTTCTCTCTTTTGCTGTTTTCCTTTGTGGTTAAGCAATTTTTCTTTAGTAGTATATTTAATTTTGTGCTATTTTTTTCCAGTATATCTATTACAGGTTTTTGATTTGTGAGTATCATGAAGCATTACATAAAACCATCTTTTTTTTTTTTTTTTTTTTTTTTTGAGACGGAGTCTCACTCAGTAGCCCAGGCTGGGGTGCAGTGGCACGATCTCGGCTCACTGCAGGCTCCGCCTCCCGCGTTCACACCATTCTCCTTCCTCAGCCTCCTGAGTAGCTGGGATTACACGCGCTGGCCACTATGCCCGGCCAGTTTTTTTTTTTATTATTATTTTTAGTAGAGACGGGGTTTCACCGTGTTAGCCGGGATGGTCTCGATCTCCTGACCTCGTGATCCGCCCGTCTCGGCCTCCCAAAGTGCTGGATTACAGGCGTGAGCCACCGCACCTGGCCATAAAACTATCTTACAGTTACAACATTTATTTTAAACTGATAATGACATAACTTTTTTTTTTTTTTTTTTTTTTTTTTTTTGAGACGGAGTCTCGCTCTGTCGCCCAGGCTGGAGTGCAGTGGCGCGATCTCGGCTCACTGCAAGCTCCGCCTCCCGGGTTCACGCCATTCTCCTGCCTCAGCCTCCCGAGTAGCTGGGACTACAGGCGCCCGCTACCACGCCCGGCTAATTTTTTGTATTTTTAGTAGAGACGGGGTTTCACCTTGTTAGCCAGGATGGTCTCGATCTCCTGACCTCGTGATCCGCCCGCCTCGGCCTCCCAAAGTGCTGGGATTACAGGCGTGAGCCACCGCGCCCGGCCGACATAACTTTTACCATAAAGAGAAAGTAACAAACACCATCTCTATACTTTCATACCACCCCCCAGATTTTTACTTTTCATATTCCAATTGACATCTTTTTATATTGCCTATCTCTTAACTAATTGTTGTAGTCTTTGATGTTGTTGTTGTTGTTTTTTGAGACTGAGTCTTACTCTCTCGCCAGGCTGGAGTGCAGCGGTGTGACCTCGGCTGACTACAAACTCCACCTCCTGGGTTCAAGCGATTCTCCTGCCTCAGCCTCCTGAGTAGCTGGGATTACAGGCGTGAGCCACCATACCCATCTAATTTTTGTATTTTTAGGAGAGATGGGGTTTCACCATGTTGGCCAGGCTGGTCTCAATCTCTTGATCTCGTGATCTGCCCGCCTCAACCTCCCAAAGTGCTGGGATTACTGGGCGTGAGCCACCGCACCTGGCCTGCAGTTATTTTTAACATTTTTGTCTTTTAGTCTTCATACATAGGATATATGATTTACTTATCCCGATTACAGTATTAGGAGTATTTTAAGTTTGTCTATTTTCTTTCTTTTACCTGGGAGTTCAATACCTTCAGACGGTTTCTTGTTGCATCTAGTGTCCATTTATTTTAGATTAAAGAACTCCCTTTATCATTTCTTGTAAGACATGTCTGGTGTTGATAAATTTCCTCAGCTTTTGTTTGTCTCTGAAAGTCTTTATCTTTCTTTCATGTTTGGAGGTTATCTTTGCTGGGTATTCTTGATTGAAAATATTTTTTTCGTTCAGCACTTCAAATATAACATCTCACTCTCTCTTGAGCATCAGGGTTTCTGCTGAGAAACCTGCTAAAACCCATATTGTGACTCAGAAGATAGCGATTTTTTTTTCTTACTGCTTTGAATATTTGTGTGTTTGATCTTTGCTAATTTGATTATGACATGCCTTGGGGAATTCCTCTTTGAGTTGAATCGATTGGTGATTTCTGAGCTTCTTGTAGCCGGATGCAGTCATTTGTCTCCAGATTTGAAAAATTTTTAGCCACTATTCCCTTAAATATGCTTTTTAGGGCTTTTTCTTTCTCACCTCCTTTGGGAGTTCCTAAAAGGCAAAGGTTAGTTTGTTGATGGTGTTTCATAATTCTTGTATGTCTTCTTCACTTTGTTTATGCTATTTCCTTTTCGGTTCTGTGATTGGATAATTTCACATGTTCTGTCTTCAAGCCTGCTAATGCTTTTCTTTGATCAACAAAGCTTTTTACAATCTCTTTATTTCAGTCACTGTATTTCTTGTTTGTAGGTTTTCTTTTTTTAATGTTTCTATTTCTTTGTTGAATTTTTTATTTTATTCCTGGAATTAAGAAAATTATTTCATTTTCTATTCGTATTTTCTTATGATACCCTGGACTTCTTTAAGATTATTCTTAATTCTTTATCAGACATTTTCTAGACCTTCAGTTCTACTGGGTCCATTGCTGGAGCTGTGTTGGTTTCTTTTGGTGTTGTCAAATTGAATCAAGTTTTCACTGTTCATGTGTCTTTACATTGATGCCTGTGCATTTGAGAAGACAGTCACCTCTTCCAATTTTTACAGAGGTTTCTTGGTGTTGTTAGACATTTACTAAATTCAGAACTTAAATGCTGGTTCATTGTTGGTCACAATTCTGGGGAATAATTACAGTGAGCACCAGAGCTGAAACACTGTGCTGGAATGAACTCATTGTCTTCCCATTGTTTCCCAATGTGGTGAAGATTATAGTGAATATCAGAATTTACACACTGTTCTGAAACTAAATTGTTGTGCTTCCTTGTTTCCCATTCTGAGGAAGACCTATAGTGAACACTGGAACTTAAATGTTGCCTTCAAACTATATTGTTACCCTGTCATTGTTTCCCAGTCTGGAAAAAAAGTTAAAGGCACCTGAACTTAATCTTGACCTTTTAGTTGTTTCTGGGCCAGGGGAAGACTCCAAGTAAAACACCCGGGCTTTGAGGAAAATCTGGCCAGGGATTTGGATCTTCCTGTGGATCATGTTCCTTGCAGCACTATGGTGCAGGCCAGTCTCTTCAATGTGGCATCCCTGCTGATCCTAGTGCAGAGTAGTCACCAATATCTACACGCTAGTCACTGCAGTCAGCATTCCAATCTTTATTCCAAATTCATTCTGGGTAGTTCAGTCCTCCTGGACTCCTAATGGTTATTTTGGAAGGAGACCAAAGTGGGCTTTCCGTGAAGATTTCCAAACCAGTCCACAGATTGAATGTCCACTTTCAATTCTTTCCTCTCACCTTGCAAAACATAAGTCTAGGGAAATTCCTTGTGAGTAGCATTATGCTGGCTTGTAGGAGGGGGTGGCACACTTTGAAATGACTGTTTTTCTTATTTGTGACTTGTCTTGATTTTGTAATCCTAGAATTTTCTCTACTTTTGCCCCAAGTTCTGCTGAATTCAGAGTGGTATTATTGTTTTTTGTTTTTGTTTTTGTTTTTTTGAGATAAGAGTCTCGCTCTGTCGCCCAGGCTGGAGTACAGTGACAGGATCTCGGCTCACCATAACCTCCCTCTCCCAGGTTCAAGCAATTCTCCCACCTCAACCTGCCTCGGCCTCCCAAAGTGCTGGGATTACAGGCATGAGCCAACATACCTGAGTGGTATTATTATTTTTGAATAACTTCTCATTGTATGTTTGTGGGGTAAGTGATGCCAAGAGACATTTTATTTCACCATCTTGCTGATGCCAGGATCACACACTGCATTTGTGTGTGTGTGTGTGTGTGTGTGTGTGTGTGTGTGTGTGTGTGTAACTGCCTCTTTAGTTTATTTTAATAGAATAAAAACCCTGTCTTTTTTTCATGGTTGCTTGTTTCTTATGACATTGACTTTTTTTAAAGAACACAGGATAGATGTCTTATAGAATGTCTTACATAGTAAATTCGTAAATCTACAACTAATTTCTAAAATTTCAAAATGCTTAATATTTTAATTCTTATATTACAGACTGAATGATAATTATATGCCTCAAACCACATTATACAAAAAAGACAAAGGAATAGGAGGAGGAGGAGAAAAAAAAGAAACAACTTTATAGTCTAAATATCAACAACCAAAAATGGTGGCTCACACCTGTAATCCCAGCACTTTGGGAGACTGAGGCAGGCAGGTCACTTGAGGCCAGGAGTTTGAGACCAGCCTGGCCAACAGGGTAAAACCCCATCTCTATTAAAAATACAAAAATTAGCTGGACATGGTGGCACATGCCTGTAATCCCAGCTACTTGAGAGGTTGAGCCACAAGAATCACTTGAACCTGAGAGGTGGAGGCTACAATGAACCGAGATTGGGCCACTGCCTTCCAGCATGGGCAACAGAGGGAGATTCAGTCTCAAAAAAAAAAAAAAAAATCCACTAGTCAAGAATTTAATTTACTCAGCTGTTTCTAACATCCAGCTTAATGTTTTTTTTTTGTTGTTGTTGTTTTGTTTTGCTTTGTTTTTTGAGACTGAGTCTCACTCTATTGCCAGGCTGGAGTGCAGTGGCATGACCTCAGCTCACTGCAACTTCCACCTCCGGGCTTCAAGCAATTCTCCTGCCTCAGCCTCCCGAGCAGCAGGGACTACAGGTGCACATCACCAGGCCCAGCTAATTTTTGTATTTTTAGTAGAGGGGTGGTTTGGCCAGGATAGCTTTGATCTCTCGACCTTGTGATCTTCCCACCTCGGTCTCCCAAAGTGATGGGATTATAGGCGTGAGCCACTGCGCCTGGCCCAGCTTAATGTTATATAATTAAAATAAACTGAGTTGACTGGGCGCAGTGGCTCACACCTGTAATCCTAGCACTTTGGGAGGCCGAGGCGGGCAGATCACGAGGTCAGGAGATCAGACCATCCTGGCTAACACGGTGAAACCCCATCTCTACTAAAAATACAAAAAATTAGCCAGGCGAGGTGGCGGGCACCTGTAGTCCCAGCTACTCCGGAGGCTGAGGCAGGAGAATGGCGTGAACCCAGGGGGCGCAGCCTGCAGTGAGCGGACATTGCGCCACTGCACTCCAGCCTGGGCAACAGCCAGACTCCATCTCAAAAAAATAAAAATACAAATAAAAATAAACTGACTTACATGGAAACAACGACCATAAATCAGTGATTCTAAATATAAAAGAATGAACTTTCATAATCTTTCCAGTGGGAATCCTCTGATGTTTCCTTTTCCAATATTATTAAGTTAGATTTCTAGATGCTTGAAGGGGTAACAAGATGGCATGGTCTTTAGTTAGGTGCCGAGAATGGCATTAATAATGTATTTGGGGTCCTTACCAGTGTTTAATAAATACTAAATAATTTTTCTCCTTCTCACTATTCCATATAATATTCGTTTGTCAGCTTATTCAGAAAAATTACATGTTAAAACATTTAATCATAAAGCAACCTCATGAATTTGTATTATTATTTTCATTTTAAATATAAAGAAAGCAAAGTTCAGGAAGAGTAAATAGCTGGCCCCAAATCAACCAGCTAGTTCTTGAACAGGCAGGACTACATTCTAGATGTTGAGGTATCTGCCCTATTACTCTTACAATTCTAGGAAAGAAATCCTCTTGCACTTATGCTAACCTGATACATGGTTTATAATATAACGCTAAGGGAATTTGTAAAGAAGTATATTCAGTCGAATCCTAAGGCCCTTATCAAGCAAATTAGAAGCATTTGAAAAAGATTTGTTGAATAAATAATAAAAGCATTTTTCTTTATTATTCATACTATAATGTTGTAGCTGTGAATATTTATCAAATTCATTGAGTGCTAATTACATTAGAAGTTTGTCTTCTAATTTGGCAGAATTTGGTGTTTTTGATCATGTTCTTTGTGTTCTAGTCCCAAGTGTGGCTAGGGAAACAGAATTGCAATTAAGTATAATTTATCCTTGTTTCCTCTCTATTGTAACTCTTTCTGAACACCTTACATTTGAAGGCAGAATGGAACTTTTGAAACATGTAATTTTATGCTACAAAATGACATATGATTAATTCTTGCCTTAGTCTTTCTCCTGGACTTGAGAGTTTTTGGGTTTGTAAAATGTTTGCAATATATTCAAAATCTAGAATCAAATGCATAACTTTTTGTATTTCCGAAGTTTTTTAGATATTGTACTCTTCTATTTCTTCATTAAATACATCTCCCAACTACCCATATAGTCATAATTTTAAAAATTGGTTCTGCATGACACAAAAGAAAACAATTTCCACTGGCTTAATGAAGTAGAAATTTGTGTTCTTCTCAGGTAATAATTTTGGAGTTAAGCAGTGGTTGTTTTGATTCAATAGCTCAAGAATATTAAGATTAGATACTAAGGCCAAAACATTGTGACCACGTGGGGAGCATCATTATATAGACCAACATGAAGACAGGTGTGTATGGCAAAAAGCCTCATGTGAACTGAATATATTCCTTTGAAGAGCTTTACTTGACCCCTACCTCATGACTTTTTTATGCATTCTTCTGGCTACACTGCATGATCAACCCCAGATGGAAGGGAACGTGGAGACCTTTTTAGTGAGGGACTTTGCTCCCCTGAGTAAAATCTAGGTAAAGTTGATATAGATGAGAGGAAGACTGGACACTAGGTAAAAAGTTCAAGGTTTCTGACTCGCCATTTATGAAGAATGTATGTACTGAGCACTAACACTGTGCATAATCAAAGTGCTGAGTTAGAAGGGAATATTTCAGGGTCACAAAACTACTTCAGATTAAGCTCACCAATGCTCTAATCCTGGATTTGTATTTGAATTCAGAAAGCAAAGTGGAATAACAAGTTGCTTTCAATTTTTCTATTTCCTTGATGTTCTATATATATATAAAATGGGAGCTACCTAATTTGAGATGGTTGTTAATGATGAGTACTGCTTACTTCATCACAACTCCTGATACTAAAAGAATATTACTAATCATAATATTTAAACATTGTTGCATCGCAAAATACCTAATGGGCTATATGGTAGATTCATTAACAATTTTCACTTATTATTGATTATCCTTCAGAATTTAGCCATGCCAATGCAACTGACTCACATTTAACAAGTGGTTGGAGACAAATGGAAAACAATGCACCCATGTGCCTATTAAATAAAATTACTGACCAATGATAAATCATTGACTTATAAAATTTTGAAGATCTATAGAGTTATATTTTAATACTGTTAAATACATATAAAAAAACTGAGACAGAACACAGAAGTGACATTGCCAAAGTCAAAAACTAGTCAGCAGCATGAACAAGAACAAAATAAAAATTTTCAGCATCCTAAAGCAGGGCTATTTCCACTATACCACATCTAAAACCAGTTATCTTATCTCCAAATCCTTTCTTCCTTTTCTATATTTATTTCTACTACTAATACCATTATCACATCACCAGGCTGAGAACTATTGATCAAGATCCTCAAAGACCACATTTCCAACATTATTTCAAAGTTAAATATATATAAAGGTATAGACTTGGGAGACAAAATCGATATTGTTATGCAATGTCAATATGTTTACCTCTGCAGGTACCAGTTACCTCAGTTACATTTACTCATGTGTCTTTATGTGTGTGTATATGTGTGTTCATGTAGTTTTATAAAAAAGAGAAGCTTTTAAGGTGAAAATCAGGATTACTGCTCTAATTCCTTCTCTAACCCCATCCACAGTGCACACAATACACATATTTTCACACACGCACCCCACACATTCCTAAATATGGAAGTCTTAACAAGTAAGAGAGTTCTCATAGGAACATAAATGGTATCACTTAGGGAAAATTGTAAGGTATTTACATTTCTGTTTCTAACATGATAAGCGTATATTATTCAATTTTATTATAAGAAAATTAGTTAAGAAAATGCCAAAACTAAACACAACAAAATTTTCAGAAAAATAAATACCTAACATGGTATAAAACATGTTTAAAAATTAATTAAATTATAAAATAAAAAACAATATTTCACTCTAATTGATTTGTGGAATGAATTCTAGGTTACGATAAAGAATAATGTATTTACTATTTATCAAGTAACAGGTATGAACTATTAGAAACACCAAACAAGGCACATAAAATGAAAACTTGTTTTTGAGTTTTAAATTTTTCTGACTACAAACTTATTTTAAGACAGAATTATCAAAAGCAAGTGCCTTGATTTCAGGGTTGGCTAAAATAAAATAGGTTTTTTAAGTCTGTCACTATAGTTTTTTTATCAAATTGACAGATATGGTCCAGTTAATTTTGTTTCTGGAGTCATTTTTTAGAAGAAAACCCACTCATATCTAAATAACTCCAAGTCAATACTATATATCTCGAAACTAATCTATTTTATAACATTACACATATCAACATGTCATAGTTTACATATTCCACATGCAACTTATATTTTGTAAATGCATGGAAAATTTTGAGGAATAAATTTAAGTTTTAATAAAATGAGCAAATTCATTTTGGATTTATGTGTTAAAAAAAGAGGCAAATACACTTTAACAATTTGTCATTCTTAGTGAAGCTCTCAATACAGAGTAACAGGTTTTGGAATTAGAGCTACAGATCACTATTACAGGTATACATTTTCTTTTATCAACTAATAATAAATTGTGGGGTGGGGGAGGGGGGAGGGATAGCATTAGGAGATATACCTAATGCTAAATGACGAGTTAATGGGTGCAGCACACCAACATGGCACATGTATACATATGTAACAAACCTGCACATTGTGCACATATACCCTAAAACTTAAAGTATAATAATAATAAAATAAATAAATAAATAAATATGATCTATCTAAAGCAGTCACTCAATTTTCTATAAAGAACTTCAGAGGAGAACCACTTTCAAAATTTCAGGAATATACACTCAAAGATGCATTTTCAAAAAAAAATATAGTATGGAACACTTTTTTTCAATTGAAGAACTGTCTACTTAGATTCTCTGGGTAAACTTACCAATAAAATTTAAATGAATTAACTTTAAAAAGTAATTTCTAAGTAATATAAATTGGTGAATTTATATCATTGCAGGGATATTGTCCTAATATGTTAATAAAGTAATTGTGTGTCATTCACTATGAGAGCTCACACTATTAACAACTCTTAAAAGGATAAAAAATTTGAAATTTTGATAAGTCTAAAAATGGTGCTAAAGAAAATCTTATTACACTGCAATATCGAATGCTGGCAGGCATTCATATGAATAAAAACAAAAGTGTTAAGAATATTGACATAAGATGAATGTGTCCATTGGGAGAGGCACGAATATTTAATGATTATCTACTATATAGCAGACACTGAAACAGGCATCTGCATCTTTTCATTCAGCGAGATAAATTAAATACCATGTAAAGAGAGATTAGTTTTGGAAATATTATTTAATCTTTCCCAAGGTCACACAGTAAGGAAACAACGGACCTGAGATTTGAACTCAACACTTCTACGGTACTATCAGCTCATTCTCATTTTTTCTTCAAATATGTCATCGAGGCTTTCTTCACTATAGTGAAAAGGCAATTTTGAAAACATAACATGGACAGAATATTAACTTGGATTTAGTCAGGATATTATACTAATGCACATTTCATCAGAGCTTCATTACTTTTATGGTCATATTGGGGAACTATGAAAACTATGAAAAAAGAATTAAAGAAATTCAAATCGTTTGGCCTCACATTATACAGTCCCCAGCCCCTATTATACAATTAATTAATTAACATAATGCAAAGTCTTACCTAGTCTTTTTGTATTTGTTTTTTAATGGAATCCACAGATTTGGAAGTTTTGAGCAAAGACAGGATTTAGCAGACTTTTTTTATTACATTGCAAATAACTCAGTTCTTAAAAAACTCATTAGGATATTTGAAGATGTGTCCTTATTTAGATACAAGTCATGGCTTAAAAATAAACTTATATTTCCTTCCTATTTTTAAATTGTTTTGGATTTATATGGGTACATATTTGTTGTATATTTCTTTCCTTTTTAAATGCCTATTATAGGTAAAGCCTAGTAAGATAAGGAGCTACTAACCAAATCTAACATCCCTTTGGCAGTGACAGTAATGTAACTTTGGAGTAAATACCAAAAAAAAAGCAAATTACCACTGATCACAGCAATTTCCATAACAATATAGATTTTGTGATAAAATATAATGACATAAATATTTATTTTTTCAGGATCAATTGTATGATTTAATGTAATAGAAGTTTCCTTGAGAAACCCTTACTTTTCCAAATCCAGCCTTAAACGTGTATGAATTACTTCCAGATTTTTCTGTTTTGCTAGGTAATGATTCCCCTCATTTGTATTTGATAAAGTAAATGTGATAAATGCAAAGGGGCTTAATTATTACGGAATTCATTTCACTGTGATGCTCTGTGGTTGTCAAGATTCAATCTAGTCTTAAATTTTAATAAGGACCCCATCTACAGAAAATTCTAAGTGAAGGAAGTTTGAGCTAGAATGTGAGGACAAGATTACAGTGGTTAATAGAAATAAAGTAGAATTTAAATTATTTTTATGTATGTTAATTTTTTTATTACAATTTTTTCAAAATTTATTGTTTTTAGTACTAAGAATGGAAATTCATGATGTTGGAAAGGAGAGGAGCCTGAATCTCCTAGGTTCAACCTCCACGCTAATACCAACAATGAATGTCAAGTGTATTGGCCTCAGTAAGGAAATTACACTCACCTTCTCCATCTCTCCTACTTTATTCTTCTCCAAAGAAGGATGCTAATTGTGGGGCATGAATAAAAATGAAACACAAATATAGAAGATGGAGCTTTTGGTGTGAGTGGGGAGAACTAACTCAGTCTCTGTCTCCCCGTCTCTCTTTCTTTTACTTTCCCTTTTCCCTTCTCTCCTGAATTGTCAATGTAATTTTTGGATTTGGGGGTTGCTTCTCTCTAGGCATTGCTTTATGCAATAAGATGTGTCTGGATCTGCCTCCTGCTCATCAGAGATCTTGCTCTGGAAATACCTAAGAGTATGAGCATTACTAGGACTTTGCTCAAGATTTCATGGGGAAACTTACTTCACTTTACACATTTAGCCTTGGATTTATTTTCTTAATAATGTTTATTACTGAAGTAAGAGGATCATAGGCAGCATTTGCTAAGTGTGATATAAACAAAATAACACAAAAGAAAACTTTCATTAAAGAGTCTCCAATCTAATGTACCTTTAGGTTGCCTCAGGTAGTTTTCCCAAAAAATACTTTCATAAATATATTTATAAATATATCCTTATATGCTAATGTGCTATAGCAACTATTTCTGTAGTAGTGGGATTCACAGAATTGGAATGTACTAATAAATAGGTAAGTATGTTTAAAATTTTGAATATATCTAACTTGACTTCAATTTGTTTAATTATTATTGTTATTTTGCCAATTGCACTGCTGCTACAATGTTTGAGCAACTTTCAAAATTTCTTTGACAAAATTTGGACATATTTTAGAGAAGAGAAACAGCACAGACCACAAATCTGCCATCCAGTGTGCCACATAGTTTTGGTCTCTACATGTTAAATTTTATGCCATAATAAATAAATTATCATATTCACACACAGCCTTTAAGGATAGAAAGAGTCCATTAAAGAGATCTAAATTGAAGTTGTGATTATGTGTGAAATTATTTTGTATTTGTTGTTAGGGGTGTGACGTTATAATTTCTTGTTTAGTAGGATTTCCTCGAAATGTTCTGAATTATTACCTTGTGCATACTAAGAAGCATGCATCAAATAGGGTATACCTAAGATTTTTTAAAAAATGAAAGCTAAGGTATAGCTGTTGAATAAAATTGACCTTTCTTTTCTCTTTCTCTTAATTTCAATATAATATGAAATTCAGAAAATATTTACATTTGCTAAAGATTAGGATTTGTATCATTTATTTGTTTATCCAGTTAATAATTTATGTTATAGTCATTATCGATTCTAAACCATACTAAATATTGAGAACTCAGAGAAAAGAGAACATCTTCACTGCTTAGGAGTGCATAGTATATTTCTTAACCAAAGTAGCTTCAAGACAACAAGTAGAAAGTTTAGATGATGAAATCAGAAAAAAGGATTCTCACTCTGCCTCACAAGGCATCAGGCAAAGGATGTATTAGAATCATCCAGTTAGATAAGGGTAGAAAAATCAAAAACCCTTCAAAAAATCAATGAATCCAGGAGCTGGTTTTTTGAAACGATCAAGAAAATTGTTAGACCACTAGCAAGACTAATAAAGAAGAAAAGAGAGAAGAATCAAATAGACGCAATAAAAAATGATAAAGGAGATACCACCAATGATCCCACAGAAACACAAACTACCATCAGAGAATACTATAAACACCTCTATGCAAATAAACTAGAAAATCTAGAAGAAATGGATAAATTCCTGGACACATACACCCTCCCAAGACTAAACCAGGAAGAAGTTGAATCCCTGAATAGACCAACAACAGGCTCTGAAATTGAGGCAATAATTAATAGCCTACCAACCATAAAAAGTCCAGGACCAGATGGATTCACAGCCGAATTCTGCCAGAGGTACAAGGAGGAACTGGTACCATTCCTTCTGAAACTATTCCAATCAACAGAAAAAGAGGGAATCCTCCCTAACTCATTTTATGAGGCCAGCATCAACCTGATACCAAAGCCTGGGAGAGACACACAACAAAAAAAGAGAATTTTAGACCAATATCCCTGATGAACTTTGATGCAAAAATCCTCAGTAAAATACTGGCAAACCGAATCCAGCAGCACATCAAAAAGCTTATCCAACATGATCAAGTGGGCTTCATCTCTGGGATGCAAGGCTGGTTCAACATAGGCAAATCAATAAATGCAATCCAGCATATAAACAGAACCAAAGACAAAAACCACATGATTATCTCAAAAGATGCAGAAAAGACCTCTGACAAAACTCAACAGCCCTTCATGCTAAAAACTCTCAATAAATTAGATATTGATGGGACGTATTTCAAAATGATAAGAGCTATTTATGACAAACTCACAGCTAATATCATACTGAATGGGCAAAAACTGGAAGCATTCACTTTGAAAACTGGCACAAGACAGGGATGCCCTCTCTCACCACTCCTATTCAACATAGTGTTGGAAGTTCTGGCCAGGGCAATCAGGCAGGAGAAAGAAATAAAGGGTATTCAATTAGGAAAAGAGGAAGTCAAACTGTCCCTGTTTGCAGAAGACATGATTGTATATTTAGAAAACCCCATCGTCTCAGCCCAAAATCTCCTTAAGCTGATCAGCAACTTCAGCAAAGTCTCAAGATACAAAATCAATGTGCAAAAATCACAAGCATTCTTATACACCAATAACAGACTAACAGAGAGCCAAATCATGAGTGAACTCCCATTCAAAGAGAATAAAATACCTAGGAACCCAACTTACAAGTGATGTGAGGGACCTCTTCAAGGAGAACCACAAACCACTGCTCAACGAAATAAAAGAGGACACAAACAAATGGAAGAACATTCCATGCTCATGGATATGAAGAATCAATATTGTGAAAATGGCCATACCGCCCAAGGTAATTTATAGATTCAATGCCATCTCCATCAAGCTACCAATGACTTTCTTCACAGAATTGGAAGAAAATTACTTTAAAGTTCATATGGAACCAAAAAAGAGCCTGCATTGCCAAGACAATCCTAAGCCAAAAGAACAAAGCTGGAGACATCACGCTACTTGACATCAAACTATACTACAAGGCTATGGTAACCAAAACAGCATGGTACTGGTACCAAAACAGAGATATAGACCAATGGAACAGAACAGAGCCCTCAGAAATAATACCACACATCTACAACCATCTGATCTTTGACAAACCTGACAAAAACAAGAAATGGGGAAAGGATTCCCTATTTAATAAATGGTGCTGGGAAAACTGGCTAGCCAAATGTAAAAAGCTGAAACTGGATCCCTTACTTACACCTTATACAAAAATTAATTCAAGGTGGATTAAAGACTTAAATGTTAGACCTAAAACCATAAAAACCCTAGAAGAAAACCTAGGCAATACCATTCAGGACATAGGCACTGGCAAGGACTTCACGTCTAAAACACCAAAAGCAATGGCAACAAAAGCCAAAATTGACAAATGGGATCTAATTAAACTAAAGAGCTTCTGCACAGCAAAAGAAACTACCATCAGAGTGAACAGGCAACCTGCAGAATGGGAGAAAATTTTTGCAATCTACTCATCTGACAAAGGGCTAATATCCAGAATCTACAAAGAACTCAAACAAATTTACAAGAAGAAAACAAGCAAGCCCATCAAAAAGTGGGTAAAGGATATGAACAGACACTTCTCAAAAGAAGACATTTATGCAGCCAACAGACACATGAAAAAATGCTCATCATCACTGGCCATCAGAGAAATGCAAATCAAAACCACAATGAGATACAATCTCACACCAGTTAGAATGGCGCTCATTAAAAAGTCAGGAAACAACAGGTGCTGGAGAGGATGTGGAGAAACAGGAACACTTTTACACTGTTGGTGGGACTGTAAACTAGTTCAACCATTGTGGAAGACAGTGTGGTGATTCCTCAAGGATCTAGAACTAGAAATACCATTTGACCCAGCCATCCCATTACTGGGTATATACCCAAAGGATTATAAACATGCTGCTATAAAGACACATGCACACGTATGTTTATTGCGGCACTATTCACAATAGCAAAGACTTGGAACCAGCCCAAATGTCCGTCAGTGACGGACTGGATTAAGAAAATGTGGCACATATGCACCATGGAATACTATGCAGCCATAAAAAAGGATGCATTCATGTCCTTTGTAGGGACATGGATGAAGCTGGAAACCATCATTCTCAGCAAACTATCACAAGGTCAAAAAACCAAACACCGCATGTTCTCACTCATAGGTGGGAATTGAACAATGAGAACACTTGGATACAGGAAGGGGAATGTCACACACTGGGGCCTGTCATGGGGTAGGGGGAAGGGGGAGGGATAGCATTAGGAGATATACCTAATGTAAATGACGAATTAATGGGTGCAGCACAGCAACACGGCACATGTATACATATGTAACAAACCTGCACGTTGTGCACATGTACCCTAGAACTTAAAGTATAATTAAAAAAAAAAAGAAAAATCACCTCATAGAGAAAATACAACCTGTAGAAAGGTATTAAGATTTGAGAGAGACAAATGAATACTTGAGGAACTCCACATAAAGGCATATAAAATGCTTTGAACTGTACCAAGCAGTTAAGTCATTGCTTACTAAATATTTTTTACTGTTATCATTATCATTATGTAAGTTGTGGTAGTATTTATTTAATCTTCCCCCAAAATACTGTGTGTCAAAAACATTTTATAACCATTTCACAAATGAGAAAACTGAGGCACAAACATATTAGGTAACTTTTTCAAAATCACATCACTGATGAGTGGGGAAAGGGGATAAGAACTCAGGCTGTGAGTGGCTCCACTTTAGGACTCATATAGAAAAGTTATTGGAAATGCAACAGATTATGAAATAAGTTACATACAAATATCAGGATGTTAACCTTTAGATCATAGAAGTTTCTGAAAGGCATCATGCATAGCAGTGTATGGTCTGATATGTACTGCCATGTGGAGTACCTACAGATGTAGGGGCCAAAAGAGTCAGGGAGATCAGTTCAGAGGCTATTGCAGCAATCCAAGGGAGAATTTATGAGGGTCTGAATCAAGAAAAGGGCTATAGCAAAGAATGAGTAGATTTCAGAGATATGAAAATTTAACTGATGAGAATTGAGATTGCATGTACAAAGTAGAAACCATTAACTGAGCTGGAGAATTTGAAACCGGAAAATGTCTTATCTTTTAAAGAAATGGGAATGTTTATTCCTAGAGGAGCACATTGTATTTCAATTTAAAACGCATTCTCCATCATTTTTCACTGATTATGCTCCAGAAACTAATTTCTTCTTAAGTGTTAATATAAGTGCTAAGATAGATATCATAATTAATATTTAAGAGCCAAACTTAAATTTGGTTTCAGAAAAAAGCACATGTTTAATCCAATTGAGATTCCTATATAACTATAAAGTCAGTCAAAATAAACAATTTTGCAGAGATTTTTGTTTGTTTGTTCTAGTCAAAATTGTTTAGTTCTGGGTATTTTGACGCTATCCAACACACTTCTAGGTGACAGTCTGAAGATTTGCTAATCAAGATAAAATCACTGATCTTTCATTTTGTTCCCCATAGAGTCTTTATTTTACATTAGTAAAAGCCTTGTTGGCAATTCAGGTTCTAATTTAGAACCAAGTAGAGTTGTATAATTTGGTCTCTAAACCACTCTAAACCTGACATTCTCTAGATATCTTTATGGTAAAGTTTGTGAGACCTGATTCAATTCCAATCATAGTTATAAAAATTGTATTTTTTATGTCTACAAATAAGTGACTTAAATATACATAGAAACAAGTCTTAATTCTTAGTTCCATATTGCATTGATTTTCCTATAATGTTCTGTTGAAGTTTAAAATACATATTAAAACAGTTGCATTATTATTATTTTTCTTCAATCTACACAGATATTTCATAGTCAAATACATTAATAAAAATAAACAGTTGAGCAATAAAATAGTAATACTGAATACCTGGATATTTAAATCTGAGAAATTACTTTTTTTGAGTTTGGAAAAAAGTCTGCATTTTTCATTTTTTAAAGAAACTACATTTGTATAAAAAATTTCTCCTTCATTTAGCATTACATATGTATATATACATATATATAATAGTATATTTATTAGCACTTCAACATTGTTGAAAGGTAGGCAAATGTGGGAATTAAAATGATACCCAATTTTCTGATTTTCTTCTTAATAAACACTAAGACAAATACACACAGCCTCCAAAATCATATAAAAGAAACATAATTTTAGAACAATTGATCAAATATTTAAAGATTAGAGAATCTTTATTTTAAGCAAATCAGATGGTTCAGGAAACTTCTCCAGGAGGCCTTGAACAGACTCATTCTCTCCTCTTTCTCACTTGTAATTCTCAAGGATAAATGTAGAAAGCACTGAGAATGTAATGTCTTGAGATAGGAGGGTAACTCGCTGGAACAGCCCTAGCTCTGCTTCAGGGCCCTCTAGCAACAGAATGTCCTTCAGTGTTTGGTCCAGTGTTTCATGTTTCGCCTGAGGTATACAGCCCAAGGTAGGCTGCACTTTCAGGTCCCTCATCTGTGATCCAAGTAAGGCACATTCAATCAAGTCTCCAAATGCCTCAAGTAGCTTCCCTAGCCTTGGAGAAACAGCTCGCCCTGAATCCTCTGCTTCTATTGTCTCTTGCTGTGTATCTGGAAGAAATAAATTTGTTTCATGTAACTTGCTGCCTATGTGTTCTCTATCACTAGACTCAGATAAGTTGGCAACCAGTGCACAGTGAACTTGCTTCAAAGATGGAGTTACCCCCTATGTCACTTTGAATTAAGGAACTATAAATGAAATATATGTCTATAATTAGATATAGATATTAAATACATATATTTAATTATATAGGGTTACATATAATTATACATGTTTTACATGCATAAATACATATAACTTTACATACTTATATAAAACATCTATTTATTATAAATTTAAATATTTAATATATATTTAATTATCTGGAATGAATATTATTAAACCATAACAGTGATCACAGAGCATTATTATCAATGAGTTACTCAACTGTTTCTCCCCCAGAATATAATAACATTATTAGTATCAAGGACTAGAATTTGCTCTCTTCAGCTTTGGATCATCAGTGATGGGCAAAGGTATTGATGCACAGCAAGCACTAAAAATATTTTCTAGTAAGCACTCAAACGTGCAGGATTGAAAGTGTAACACTTAAAGTAAAAAAACTGGTGAGGCTCATTTTTACTATTACGGTCCATGTAGATAAGTTCATAAATGTTGAAGAATAACCAAATCAATGTGCAGTAGAGGAAAAAAATGGATGGCTGATGATTAAAGGCTTAATTAGTTGTTCATTAAAAAAATTATAATTGATAACAGCATATTATATCTTATTGAATAGTAAATAATAAATATGTAAATATTTACAAGTATTGTTTTATAATCCTATCTGTTTCTAAAAGAATAGAGCCCGAAGTTATTTTAAAAAATTTATGGGACTTGGCACCAAGATGGTTGACTAAAAGTAGCTAGTTTGTGCAGCTATCATGGAGAGGACATAGAGTGGTGAATAAAAACAGGTCTTCAAGTGGATTGTCCAGGAGGGCACATTGGGATTCATCAAGGAAGCAATGATGAATTTGCATCAAGGAAGCAAATGATGAAACAAGGAGAGCAGAGAGGAGCAGGGCAAAACAGCCGTCCACCAGGGATTGGTCCAAAACCAAGGGAGGCCCCACTGCAGGGAAATAGTGAGTGATCAAGAGTCCCCAGGGCCCCACACTTCTGCCATTGACCTTTGCGATCCTGGGCATGGGAGATCCTCTCTGAGCCCCCGTCCCCCATAGCTTCCATCGAGACTGAGCCTCCAAAGCTGCTGCTCAGGCCCCCATGGAGCCCCAAGATCCTTGAATCCCTGAGAACCTTGGTGTCAGCTGCCATAACCACATCAACTAGGGAGGAAGGACTCTCTTACATGCCCCCAGGATAGGGGCCACATCCACAGTGCTGAGGAGAAGATGAACTGCAGGCCTTGCCTCTGCTGTACCTCATCAGGCAAAGCCCACTGGCCTGGGACCCCAGCGGAGCCAGCCTGAACCACCTAAATGCTTGCTGGTCATGGCTGTTTGTTTTTCTGGGGCAGAGATCCAAGAGGTAACTGATAGGCCTGCTATAATTGCTGCTGCAGTGACATCTCCCCTCCTCATCCCCTCCACTCCTCTTGTCCCCTACTGTCCTCAGGCTGCAGAGGGATCAAAGAGCCCAAGAACTGTCTCAGGCCTACAGTGCAAACCGCAGCTACCAGAAGGAAAAGTGACCAGAATATTTTCCACACTGTTCCCTGTCCCTGCTAGTCATCCTCACAGGGAAGGGCCTCCCATCCGGGGCCCCAAGTGCAGCCACCCTACCCCTGTCTGTTCACTTCAGTGGGTGGCAGCTCTGCATTTCTCTAGGGCGAGGTTCCTGGAGATAACTGACAGGCTCTCTGCTATTGCTGCTACAGTGATACCTGCCCTTGCTGCCCCCGGGCTAGGGAGAAAACAAAGACGCTGATTGCTCTCCTCACACCTCCAGCATGCCACAACCACCCTACAGAGAGGAGGCAAAACTGTCTTTTCCCTGAGCCCCACTACTTGCTGCTCTTCATCAGGCAGGGTCCGGCTTGAGCCTGCAGCACAACCACCACACCGCTGGCTGAACATTCCATTGGTAGTGGCTCTGCATTTCTCCGGGGTAGAGCTCCCAGCACAAATTACAGTCCCTGTACCACTACCATGGCTATGGTACCTGCCCTTGCTGCCACTAGGCTGGGGAAAGAAAAAAGAGCTTGGGTGTTTTACACTTCTAGCATGCCACAGCTGCCCTACAGAGAGGAGGTCAGACTCTTCCTCCTGAGCCACCTGCTTTTCACTAGGCAGGGACCCCACCTTGAGCCTACAACACAGCCACTCCACCCACAGCTGATCATTCCAGTTAGCAGTGGCTCTGTGTTTCTCTGGGGTGGAGCTCCTAGAGGCAAGTGCCAGGCCCTGTGTCATTGCCACTGCCAATGTCTCTGCCCATGCTGTTCCCAAGCTAGGGAGGGAACAAAAAGCCTGAACTTGCTCCAGGGATGCAGTGTGCAGCCTGGTAGTGCCAAGCCATGATCTTTGACCAGAACTTGAGTCGGAGAAGAACCCACACCCTCAGAGAACTGAAAGGGAGCATGGCTTCCAAAGGTGAAGAAACACAAGGGAGTCACGTGGCTGATTAAGAGCCTATCTACCAGCCATTACTCTTAAGCACCATCTACCGGATCTCAGCCCAAACTACACCACCAAAAATACTTTGCTAATATATCCCTTTGTGAAATCAAGGGTAAGAATTCAGTCACAAATAGAGACACTGCACAAAACCTTGGCCCTCTGAAAACATCCAGAAATGAAGCCAACTGATCATACTCAAATTAGGCCACAGTAAAAGGAACATCAGCCCACAAAGGTAAGAAAGAACCAGTGCAAGAACTCTAGCAACTCTAAAAGCCAGAGTGTCTTCTTACTTCTCAACAACCTCGCTAGCTCCCCAGCAATGGTTCTTCACCAGACTGAAATGGCTGAAAAGACTGACAGGAATTTTGACAATGAAGATAATCAAGATTCAGGAGAAAGTTAAAACTAAATCCAAGGAATATAAGGAAATTGATGAAATGATTCAAGAGCTGAATGACTAAATAGCCACTTTAAGAATGAAACAAAGTGATCTGTTAGCACTAAAAACCTCACTACAATAATTTTATAATATAATTGGAAGTACTAACAACAGAATAAACTAAGCTGAGGATGGAATCTCAGAGTTTGAATGAATTAATTCAGACGAAAATGAAGAAAACAAGAATTTTAAACAATGAACAAAACCTCCAAGAAATACGGGATTATGTAGAGACCAAATCTGTTACTCATTGAATCCCTGAAATGGAGGAAGGGCAAGAAACTATTCCAAAATTTATACAGAACTGTAAAAGAGCTCAAATTGCCAAAGCAATACTACACAAAACAACAAAGCCAGAGGCATGACACTACCTAACTTCAAACTATATTACAAGTTTACAGTAACCAAAACAACATGGTACTGGTACCAAAATAGACACATAGACCAATGGAACAGAATAGATAGCCCAGAAATAATGCCACACACCTACAACTATCTGCTCTTCAACAAAGCTGACAATAACAAGCAATGAAAAAGTAACTTATTAATAAATGGTGCTGAGATAACTGGCTAGACATACGCAGAAGAATGAAACAGGACCCCTATTATTCACCATGTAAAAAATATAAACTCAATATGAATTAAAGACTTAAAAGTAAAACCTAAAAATAGGAAATACTATCTGAACATTGACCCTGGCAAAGATTTCATGAGGAACACTCCAAAAGCAATTGCAACAAAAATGGACAAGTGGAATATAATTAAACTAAAGAGATTTTGCATAGCAAAACAGACTATCAATAGAGTAAACAGACAACCTACAGAATAGGAAAAAATATTTGCAAACTATGCATCTGACAAAGGTCTAATATCCAGCATCCTTAGGGAACTTAAATTAACAATCAGAAACAACCAACCACATTAAAAATTTTCTTAAGGACATGAACAAGAGACTTCTCAAAAAAATAAAAATAAACAAAAAACAAACCACATAGACACTCAACAAGCATATGAAAAAATGCTCAGCACCACTAATGATTACAGAAATGCAAATCAAAACCACGATGAAATGCCATCTCACACCAGTAAGAATGACTATTATTAAAAAGTCAAAAAATAACAGATGCGGGCTAGGTTGTAGAGAAAAGGAAATGCTTACACACCGTTGGTGGGAATGTGAATTAGTTCAGCCACTGTGAACTGTGGAAAGCAGTTTGGAGATAGAAATCCATTACTGGGTATATATACAAAAGAAAATAAATTGTTCTGTCAAGAAGACACATGACTTGTATGTTCATTGCAGTGCCATTCACAATAGTAATGACATAAACTCAACCTAGGTGCTCATCAACAGTGGATGGGATAAAGAAAATTTGGTACATATACATCATGGAATACCATTCAGTCATATAAAAGAATAAAATTATGTACTTTGCAGCAACATGGATAGGGCTGGAGGCAATTATCCTAAGTGAATTAAGGCAGGCACAGAAAACAAAATACTGCTAAATAGGAGCTAAACATTGAGTACACACAGACATAAAGAAGAGAATGGTAGACACCATGGCCTACTCGAGAGTGGAGTGTGGGAAGAGGTAAAGGATCAAAAAGCTACTTGTTGGGTACTGTGCTTATTACCTGGGTGAGGAAACAATCTGTACACCAAATCCCTACAACATACAATTTATTCATGTAACAAACCTGCACATGTACCCCTGAACCTAAAATAAAAGAATAATTAAAAAAAGTAAACAAGCTTATTAACAACAAACATTTCTTTAAACACAATAATTATCACCAAGGAATGACTAATTATTTAAACCTAAATATAATAGTAATAAGTAATTTAAAGTAGGCAGAACATTTTAAGATGATTTAAAGAAATTACATGTATGTTAGAGATTTATTGCACAGAGATTAAATGTGCAGCCTCTGCAGATAAACACCAGACCAAATCTTGGCCCAAATGGGAAAGCTCTAGAGACTCTTATGACTCAGGAACTCCTGTTGGGTAAGCTGAAGCTATTATTGTGTTTGCATTGAAACTTGACTTCCTGTGCCTTTGCTTCTGTTTTCTCGTCCCCTCCTTTCCACAGGTGCTGATCCTTAGAGCACTCATTAATGACCATATTGCATGACAAATTTAACTCAGAGGCTGCTTTTTAAAGAACCAAATATGTGACAGTTGGTATTAGACATGGTCTGATTCAGAAGGTGACAAGGCAAAATCAGAAGGTGAATAATTTACCATGTATCTGGCAATAAGAAATGTATCACTGGTTGTTGGTAGAGCACAGATGCCCTGCGGAATAACGTCCCATTGTCAAATCTTATTAGCAGTTGAGACAACATACCTTTGGAAAAAAAAAAAAAAACATGGTAGGAAGGGCCATTATAAAATGAGGGACTCTGATACCATCAGGCATAATAGGATCCCCCCCAAAAAGTTCAGGCAGCTTCAGAATTTAGGTGAGACCAATTATAATAATACATGGTAAGATCCAGTTGGCCATGGAAGGGTGGAGCTGATCTACAGAATGTTAATAAGTTACACAATATTGATCCCCACAGTACTTCCCCAAATGAACCAGGACAATCTACTTGAATTAAATGTAAAGAGAGTGGGATGTTCTAAATGTTTGGAATGGAGACAAGAGCAGGAAAAAGATCAAACCATCTAGTCTTTGGAACAAGTCATCCTGCCACTTTGACTAGATAATCCATCAAACTCTACAGTATTAGGTATCAGTGGTGGGAAAATATGTGGTATGTAGTTTATAGTAAGCCCCAGTAAGACAATCACAACAGAGAACCTTAGGGGTTTCTATTAAAATGATGCCATCTCTATCTGAGATTTAAACACATTTTAACAAATAACTCTCAGCAGTCCTGGTAGAGATGGAATACCCAACCACGGAATGTCAAGTAACCATGAAGCTAAAATTGCCTTTCATTAGCTGGGTTCTATCAAATGTCAGATCATGAGGTTGGGTGGACCCAGCAACAACTCATTGAAAGATGAATCAAGTACAAGTAGGGCTAGGGGAACAAGAAAGCTGAACAATCAGGTAATTCAAACTCCTAGGTCATCTACTGCTATAGTGTCAGTACCTCTCTCTTTCAGCTCAAACTTATGGGTGCATGTGGATTCATTATGACTAGTTGATAAGAAAAAGAACTCCAAACTTTGTTAATGAATTAACTGGTCAGCCTGGTACATGGATAGAAGCCATAAATGGAAGGCAGATGCACCAGTGACAAGAAACAATTTTCTCTAAGGGCACTTGGGTTACCTTCTTTACCTTTAACGAGAATGAACTCGAGTTCAAGAAATATATGAACTCATGGGCAATGGCAAAAGGCTTAGTTGTTTGGTCAGGTTCCTTGAAGAATAATATTGGAAATTTGGAACACAGAGAACTAGAGTAGCAACTTGTGAATGGGTAAATTAGTGGGCACAAATTATGAAGAACTTCACATTACATGTTAATCACCTTCAGAGAGCACATGCCATGGAAAAAAAATTAAACAACCAAATATAAATGACTCAGCCTATTGAAATTAGCCAGGGTCTTGTGTAATCCAACCCTAAACTGGCACAATTAATTCATAAACATCATAGCCAAAGTGGAAGTAATGGAGGATCCAATGCCAGGGATAATCTACCTACTGCTGCCACCTAATATCCAAACTGTGAACCCAAAGGACAGCATGGAGTCTTTAATATTGCACCACCCCTCATTCAGCCACTGTCAACTAGTTTAGTACACTGAATTTATTCTACCTGGGAGAGTCAGTTTTGTTGCTGTTTTCTATTTTTGTGGTTGACAATGTTTTGTTATGTTTTTACCTTCTATTTACAGGAATAGACTCATTGTCTAGGTATTAGTTTTTCCTTCCTTCCTAAAGAACCTCAGAAAGCACCAATATGCATGTATTACAGAGTGCTTGATTCACAGCACAGAATGTGACTTGACAGGGAAGCCACGTAACAGGGGAATCACTTAACAGAAAAACATGGTATGAGAGTGAGAAATTCTGCCTAGGGTTCACTGAATCACATGCCTCACCATCCATAAGCAGCCAGCCTTAGAATGGGCTGTAAAGTACAGATAGAGAGCTTAGAGGCAGTACTTCAAGAGAATACAATCATTCTCCAGGATGCAATATAAACTATGAAGCAAATCCCTTTATATGATGTTCTGTCAATATTAAGAAAAATGCATGGGTCCTGAAACTGAGGGATTGAAGCAAGTGACCCCATTTATTATCATTTCCAGTGACCCATTTGTGGAATACATATTTTCTGTCTCTTAAAATCTAGGTTCTGCCGTTTTGGAGTTCCCATTGAGATAATACCACAAGATAGAGAGCCTCATATGAATACTCCCTGAGCACTTTGGACTCTATTATGTGTTTAAGTCCCTTCTCAAATTAGTATGTTGAGCTCCTAACCCCTGGTATCTTAGAATGTGACTTTACTTGGAGATAGGTTTGGTTTTGTTTTTCCAGAGAAAATCAAGTTAATATGAGATCACTGGGGTGGGCCCTAATCCAATACAACCAGTGTCCTTCTAAACAGGGGAAATTTGGACACATATATGCAAACAGAAGGGACATTTGAAAATGAAGACAAAGATCTGGGTGATGCATCTACAAGCCATGGAATGTCAAGGATGACCAATAAACCACGAGAAGGTAAGGGAAAGGCATAGAACAAATTCTTCACCACTAGTTTTAGAGTAAGCTAATACTGCTAGCACCTTGATCTTGAAATTCTAACTTCTAGAATTTAGACAATAAATTTCCATTATTTCAAACACCCATTTTGTGCTACTTTGTTGCTGCATCTCTAGCAAACTAATAGTTCCTTGTTCTAAGGAACTAGCCAGCAAGAATGGAACTTACCACTTGGGGAATTGCATTTAACTCCCATTATCAGGAGGGGGTAGGGCTGATGTTACAAATGGAAGAAGAGAGGAATATGTTTGACAGCCAGGTAATCCAATTGGGTGTGTTTTGATAGTCCCTTACTTAATTTTGATAGAAATAAACAAAGGCAAGAATCCCTGACTTTGATGATTGATAAAGGTGTGGCCATGCCACTGGATCAAGCCACTGAGCAGAGAAGAGGTGCTAGAGAAGGGTGAAGAAAATCTCATATCAATAGTGGGGAAGAGAGATGGCAATAATTATCTGTGGCTCAAAGATCACACTCAGTAATTCTGGTCAATCCAAAAACCTTTCTCTTCTAAGTTTACCCTAGTAAGATAGGTCCACCAGACTTCTAGAAGTCCTGATCCTAGAATTTATATTAAAAAGTAGTTTCAAATGACCAAAGGGAGGACTGTGATTGTACTCTGAGTTTACCCTGTTTTACCATGAAGACCTCAACCAATTGAAAACTTTTGTTCCTACTGCTGGGGCTGCTGTCTGCTGATGGCTATCAACCATCAGTAGCTTCAGGGATTGCCTCAGCCATTGAGAATCAAAGGTCTTGGCAAGTTCATAACCCTTTCAGAGCTGACTCCCACCCAATAACTGACACATGATATAAAGACTTGCCAATCTTAGCCTAAATAAGGAAAAATATGAAAAGTCATTATAACTCTAGAGCCCTTGGTAAGGTTGGCTGTAGTTCTAGTTCTGTTGTAGGTTAGGCCTGTATCACACCTCAACTTATCTCTCTGCCAATACCATCTTCTTCATCTCCTTCCTAGGGGTTTTAACCTTAAGGTTTCTTTAATAGCATTCTGCAAGCTAATCTCCATCTCACAGTCTGCTTCCTATGGAGTCCAATCTTTGCACCTACCTCACTGGATGCTTACAACAATTAAATGATATGACGTATGTAAAACATTTAGCTTACTGACACTAGGTAATAGTCACTGCTCGAATGCACAGTTCAAAAACATCAAATTAAAATGTCGTTGGAGGAGGAAGAGCAAAATGGCTGAATAGAAATTTCCACTGATCATCCTCCCTGCAGGAACACACTATCTACACAAGAAAGCACATTTCCAAAAATGAAAAATCAGATGAGTGATCACAGTACCTGGCTTTAACTTCATATCATTGAAAGAAACACTAAAGAGAGTAGGAAAGACAGTCTTGAATTGCCAATGTCACCCCTCCTCCATTCCCCAGCAGTGGCCACGTGACAGGGAGAATCTGTTGGCATGGGGGAGGGAGAGTGCAGAGATTGTGGGACTTCGCATTGAAACTCAGTGCTGACCTGTTACAATGGAAAGAAACAACAGGCAGAACTCAGCCAGTGCCCATGAAGAGAGCATTTAGATCAACCTTAGCCATTGTATATCCCAGCAATTAGAAGTTGAGTTTTGACAAACCTTGACACTGTGGGCTAAAGGGCTCCGGGCTCATAAATAAACTTGAAAGGCAGTCTAGGCCACAAGGACTGTAACTCCTAGGCAACTCCTAGTGCTATGTTGTTCTGGGAGCCAGTGGACATGGGGAGCATATGACCTAGTGAAACACTAGCCACGATGGCCAAGAGAGTGCTTGTGCCACTCCTTTCGCACAGCTCAGAGTTTCAAAAGAGACTCCTTCTTTCAAATGGAGGAGAGGAGAGGGAAGAGTAAAGAGGACTTTGTCTCGAAATTGGATGCCAGCTCATCCACAATAGGATAGGGCATCAGGCTGGGTCCTGAGGCACCCATTCTAGGCCCTAGCTCCCAGATAACATCATCTTATATTTGGAAAAACCTAAAGATTCACCAAAAAACTATTAAAGGTGATAAACAAATATAGTAAATTTGTAGGATACTAAGTTTAAAAAAAAAAAAGTAGCATTTCTATATGCCAGCAGGAAACAATCTGAAAAAGCAATGAAAAAAGTAATCCCATTTATAATGGCTACAAATAAAATGAAATGCATAGAAATTAAGCAAAAAATGGAAAGATCTCTACAATGAAAACTATAAAAAATTGAAAGAAACAGAAGAGGACAGAAAAAATGGGAAGATATTCCATGTTCACGGATTGAAATAATTAATATTGTTAAAATGTCTATATTATCCAAAGCATTCAACAGATTCAATGCAATCCATATCAAAATACCAATAGTATTTCTATTCAGAAATAGAAAAAACAATCCTAAAATTTGTATGGACCCACAAACGACCCACAATAGCCAAAGCTGTCCTGAGCAAAAAGAACAAAACTGGAGAAATCACATTATCTGACTTCAAATTGTATTACAGAGCTATAGTAAACTGAACAGTATGTTAGTGGCATAAAAACAGATACATAGACCAATTGAACAGATTAGAGTACCCAGAAACAAATCCATGTATGTACAATAAACTGATTTTTGACAAAGATGCCACGAACATACATTGAGGAAAGGTCAGCCTCTTCAACAACTGGTGCTGAAAATAAACTGGATATTCATATACAAAAGAATAAAACTAGACCCCTATCTCTCATCTATACAAAAATGAAATCAAAATGGATTAAAGACTTAAACCTAAGACCTCAAACAATGAAACTACTAAAAGAAAACATTGGAGGAACATCCTAGGGCATTAAACCAGGCAAAGATTTATTGAATAATACCCCATAACACAGGTGCCCAAAACAAAAATGAACAAATGGGATCACATAAGTTAACAAGCTTCTTCACAGCAAAGAAAACAATCAACAATGTGAAGAGACAATCCATAGAATGGGAGAAAATATTTGCAAACTATCCATCTCACAAGAGATTAATAATCATAATATATAAGGAGCTTAAACCACTCCATAGGACTAAATCTAATAATCTAATTAAAAAGTGGGCTAAAGACCTAAATATATATTTCCCAAAGGAAGACTACAAGTTGCAAGTAGGTATATGGAAAGGTGCTCAACATCACTGGCCATCAGAGAAATACAAATCACAACTTGAGGTATCTATCATGTCACCCCAGATACAATGGCTTTTATCTAAAAGACTATATAACCAACGCTAGCAAGGATCTGGAGAAAAAGGAACCCTTGCACACTGTTGACAGAAATGTCAATTAGTATAACCACTATGAAGAATAGTTTGGAGTTTCCTCAAATACTAAAAACAGACCTGCCATATGATCCAGTAATCCCACTGCTGGGTATATATCCAAAAGAAAGGAAATCAGTTTTCAAAGAGATATCTTGACTCCCATGATTATTGCAGCACGAGTTACAATAGTCAAGATTTGAAAGCAACCTAAGTGTCCAACAGAGGAATGGATAAAGAAACTGTGGCACATATATGCAACGAAGTACTATTCAGCTATATGCACATGTATGTTTACTGCGGTACCATTCACAATAGCAAAGACTTGGAACCAACCCAAATGTCAACAATGATAGACTGGATTAAGAAAATGTGGCACATATACACCATGGAATACTATGCAGCCATAAAAAAGGATGCGTTCATGTCCTCTGTAGGGACATGGATGAAGCTGGAAACCATCATTCTCAGCAAACTATTGCAAGGACAAAAAACCAAACACCACATGTTCTCACTCATAGGTGGGAATTGAACAATGAGAACACATGGACACAGGAAGGGGAACATCACATACCAGGGCCTGTTGTGGGGTGGGGAGAGGGTGTAGGGATAGCATTAGGAGATATACCTAATGTAAATGACGAGTTAATGGGTGCAGCACACCAACATGGCATATGTATACATATATAACATATGTACCCTAGAACTTAAAGTATAATAAAAATAATAATAATAAAAAAGGAATGAGATCCTAACATTTGCAACAACATGGATGGAACAGGAGGTCATTATATCAAATGAAGTAAGTCATGCACAAAAGGACAAATTTTGCATATTCTCACTTACTTGTGGGAGCTAAAAATTAAATGAATTAATGGAGATAGAGAGTAGAATGATAGTTACCAGAGGCTGAGAAGGGTAATGGAGGGATAGTGGGAAAGTGGGAATGGTTAATGGGGACAAAAATAGTTACAAATAATAAATAAAGTTCAGTATTTGACAGTATAGCAGGGTGACAATAGTAACAATTTAACCGTGCATTTAAAAACAACTGAAAGAATATAATTGGATTGTTTGTAACACAAAGGATAAATGCCTGAGGGAATGGATTCCTTATTTACCCTGGTGTGATTATTTCACATTGTATGCCTGTGTCAAAATATTTCATGTACCTACAAATATATGCACTTAATATGTACCCACCAAAATTAAAAATTACAAAAAATATTGTTTTATGTTATATCAATAAATGAACATCATTTTGTCCTATATCCAATGTTGTCATTTGGGAAATGTGTGCACATGTGTGTGTGTGCACGTGTGTGTGTGTTTCTTGCAGCCTTTGATTCAAGATTTTCATTTTAGATTGAAAACATTACGTTGTATCATTCAGGGAAATCACCTTATAAAACACAGTGGAAAAAAACCATACTATTCCATAAGACTGCAAAGTATAAAAGTCATCTGAGATACAGATACTGATTGATACCTTTTTTTTTCTTGTTCCAAAATGTGACAGGGATGGGAGTTTAAATAGGTTTCTGATACTTGATTTTATTTTTTCCAATTCTGCTAGTATCACTGTAGTAAATTCACACGACTAGACACTAGGAACATTATGCAGATTTATGTTTTTGATCTTGCTGTAATTTCAGGATAGCCCTGATGCTTATGTTAGAACTAAAACAGCACATTTATTTTACTACACTACAATTGAGTAATTGTAACATTTCTTAAAAGTTAAGCTATTTATTCTCTAATATTGTTTTTGCCGGCTGGGTGGAAAATTGTTCATATTCTTGTACACAGAGAGTATGCAATAACTTATTTGGTGATGGTCTTGCAAAGTTATTTACACTAATAACATATGATTATTACCCATCTATTTCTTTCTAAATAATGTATTCTAGATACCTTGAAGCCAGAACTCAGCTCATACTTCTGTTTTTGTTCCTTTCTTTTACTTATCATTGTACCTTCCTTGCTTCTTTTATACTTTTTAAATGAACATCTTTTATTAGAAACTTCACTTAATTATTAGATTACAAGTGTTTTTGAATATATGAGACAAGGACACAGGATATCAGGATATTTGACTTTTGGGGGGGTGCAGAAATGAGTCACAAGGTAGGTACCCTAGTACTGCTTGACTCCTGCCCCATTGCACATGTGGGAAGGACAATGGAATACAGCCAAGAAAGAACAAAGAGGATCTGTAGACATCTAGGGACTGAATGAGTAGATGTAGGCAAAGGGACACAGTACATCAGTTATCACAGGAAGGCTCCACAGAAGTCATTAAATAAGACATCAGTTTTAAGTATCTGCTAAGCTCAATGGGAGTAACGTCCCTTTATAATGGTGTGATGGTTAATTTTATGTGTCAACTTTGGTGGTTTTTTTGATGATTAACATTTAAATTAATGCACATCAAAGCAGATTCCCCTCCATAATGTGCATGGGCATTAGTAAGTTGAAGGCCTGAATAGAACAAAAAGACTGGCCTTTCTGAGCAAAAGGAAATTTTCCAGAGACTACCTTCAAAACAAATCTGCAACATCAAGTCTTCTGGATTTATAGCCTGATAAACTACACTGCAGATTTTGGACTTCCCAGTCTCCACAGTCATGTAAGCCAATTCCTTATATGTATATACAGTTGACCCTTGAACAATGCACACGTTGGAGGTGGTGATGCCCATGCAGTCAAACAATCTGTGTATAACTTTTGAATGCCCCTAAACTCAACTACTGATAGCCTACTGATGACCCAAAGCCTTATTGAAAACACAAATAGTATATTAACATATATTTTGTATGTTATATGTATTGTATATGGCATTCTAACAATAAACTAAGCTAGAGAAAAGAAAATTATAAGAAAGAGAAAATATATTTACTATTCATTAAGTGAAAGCAGATAAATCATAAATGTTTCTATCCTCATTGTCATATTTGAGGAGGCTGAGGAGTAGGAAGAGGAGGGGTCTTGTTATCTCAAGGTTGTCTGAGGTGGAGGAAAATCCACGTATGAGTAGACTAACACAGTTCAAACCCATGTTGTCAACTGTACATATGCATGTGTGCGTGTGTGGACACACACATATATATTTATGGACATATACACATATATACACACATATATCTACATACACACACATACGTGTATGTGTGTATATCTATCTATCTATCTATCTTAGAGGTCCTCTTTCTCTGGAGAACACTGAGTAATATAAACAGTATCTTGTCAGTAAAGCCGTGTTTTTCTCTTCTTTTTTTTCTTGCATGTGTCAGTACTTAAGAGGTCACTGAGAGCCATGAGCTACTGAGAGAAGAAATGAATGAGAGAGAACTAGTTGGCTACACTCTTTTGTCTAGAAGAAGGTGCCAAATTCAAAGCCAGTCCTAGTCATAGAGATGGGAGAAACCTTGATCTTAATAGAATATTAAAATGTTAATCAATGTAGGATTTGATGACTTCTCAATGAAGGTGTTTACGGCAAAAATTGAACATAAGATATTTTATTATCTAAAGCAAGCAGAGAAATTACGGAATCTGCCATAGAGATTTTATGCAATAACAGAGGGGATTTTTTTCAGTAACGAATACATTTTAAAGAGTAGTACAATACAAAATTAAAGTTATATTTTGATCACTTTCCACAAGTTTACCTCTTTAATACATTTATTATAAGTACTTTGAAGACAGGATCAATTATTTCTAGGTGAGTACATAGGGAGAGAAATGATGATCTAAATATTTTGTCATTGGTTGCTTAAGTAGATAAGGTATTATTAATAGAGAAGGTTGAGAAAAAGATAAGTTCAAGATTCTAGATACTTATGTTTAACATACAGGTAAATATCAAAACAGAGATGCCGATTAGCATAAGAAAAACACAAATCTGGTTTTTCCAACTTACACTTTTCAAACTGAATTTTGAATATGTTTCCTTTCATATTTTCATCATTGATTCAGAAACATTTTTCCTATTATTCTATTTTCTGCCTTAGAAAAGTGCTTCCATTTATTGATGAACCAGAGCTGAAAGACCCCAAGTAAGCATCTCAGGAAAGCGTTGTTGTTGTTGCTGTTATTATTGTTTTTTTTTTTCCCCTGGTGCAGTCAGCTTAAAAAATGTTTCTTAAAAAATGTTTCTATGTAACAGACATAGAAAATAATCTGAAAAAGAATAAAGGAAAAGAAGAAACCTATTATAAAATGCTCAAATAAATAATGAATCAAAAGAGGAAGGCCAATCCACTCTCCCTAGGACTATGATCAAGATGGGAAAAATCACAAAAAATAAGCTGTTTATATATTTATTTATTATTTTTAACTTCTCTATTTGCATCACTATATTATTTCTTCTGCCGTTTCCTTGATCTATAAAAGGAGAAAATAGCAATTAAACAGTGTTTGTCTTTCCTATCATAAATCTGTATAAAAGTTTACGTGTGTGTGTGCATGTTAGAAACTGACAACTCAGTTATTTTCACTGTAACTAAAATTATCTTTTTTATAGAAAATTTTTAATTCATATTTTCAAATTTATTGTTATAAACGGCTTACATGCTCATCTCTTTTTAAATATTTTAACATTGTTATTATGATACAACTGATACGTGAAAACAAATCTGCAACATCAATTCTTCCAGATTTCCAGGGTGCTGCATTTCCAGCCTGCACACATTTAAGGCATTTAATAAGTTTGCCTTATGTATATACCCATGAAACCATCACCAAATTCAGATAATGAACATTTTGATTACTCCAAAAGTTTGATGGTGCCTCTTTGTAATCCACTTTAAGCTCAGCTCGCTAATTCCTCCTCTTCATCCTTCCCACTTACTTGTTTTCTATCACAAAGGATTAGTTTTCACTTTCTATAATTTAATATAAATAGAACAATCATGTATGTACTTTTACTGGTCTGGCTTCTTTCACTTGGCATAATTATTCTGGATGAATTTGTCTTGCAGTATATATCAATAGTCTGTCCATTTGTATTGCTGAATAGTGTCTCATTGCGTAGATCCACCAGAGGTTGTCCATTCACCTGTTGATATTGCTTCCACTTTGGGGCTTTTACAAATAAAGCCACTACAATCATTCTTATGCAATTCTTTGTATAAACATGTGCCTTGGTTTCTCTTAGGTAAATACAGTTGACCCTTGAACAGCATGAGTTTGAAAGGTGCAGGTTTACTTATACATTGATTTTCTTCTGCCTCTGCTATCTCTGAGACAGCAAGACTAATCCCTTCTCTTCCTCCTTTCCCTCTCTCCTCTTTTTCAGCCTACTCAGCCTAGTCAAAGTGAAGATGACAAAGATGAAGACCTTTACAACTTTTACCTGATGAATAGGAAATAGATTTTCTCTTCCTTATTATTTCCTTAATAACATGCTCTTTTCTCTAGCTTAGTTTATTGTAAGAGTACAGTATATATATATATATGTGGTATACCATATATATATGGTATATATATGTGGTATACCATATATATATGGTATATATATGGTGTATACATATGGTATACCGTATATATATGGTGTATACATATGGTATACCGTATATATATGGTGTATATATATGGTATATATACACACATATGTACATATATACTGTACCATATATATAGTATATATAGTATATAGTATTATATGGTATATATATGGTATATATATATGGTGTATATATATATCATATATATACACCATATATATATACCATATATATATATGGTATACCATATATATAACTTACAAAATATGTGTTAATTTACCACTTATCTTATTGATAAGGCTTTCAGTTATCAGTAGGCTTTTAATAGTTAAGTTTCTGGGGGGAGTCAAAGATTATATATGAATTTTCGACTGCTTAGGGTGTTGGCACCATTTAGCCCAGCATTGTTCAAGGGTAAACTGTATCTAGGAGTGAAATAGATGGATTATCTGGTAGGTGTATGCATAACTTTTTAAAAAACTGCTGAAATATTTTCTAAATTGATTCTTCCACTTTACATTCCTTCCAGTAGTGTACCAGAATTTCAGTTTCTCTACATCCTCACCAAAACTTGATATGGTCAGTTTTCATTTTCTGGATATTCTGATAGGTGTGCAGTGGTATGTCATTATGATTTCAAATTGTATTTCCCTAAAGATCAGTGATGCTAAGCATCTTTTCATGTGCTTATGTCCTATCCATGTATTTTCTTTGGTAAAGTGTCTGTTCCTATACTTCGTCCATTTTTAATTGAGTTGTTTTTCTTATGGAGTTTTTAAATGTACTATACATATTCTGGAAATAAGTCCTTTACCAGATAATTATTTTTGCAAAATTTTCATTCAGTCTATGGCTTGCCTTTTCTTGTCTCACCTGGGTCTTTCAATGATGATAAGCTGTTAATATTGATGGAGTCCATTTTATCAATTTGTCCTTTCATGGACTATTTGTTTTTTTTACTTTAAGTTCTGGGATACATGCTCAGAACATGCAGGTTTGTTACATAGGTATACATGTGCATGGACTATTTTTGTAGTTTTATGTCTAAGAAATCATTGTCTACCTCAAGGTCATGATTTTTCACCTATACTTTCTAACAGAAATTTTATAGTTGTTTTAGGTTTTATGTTTAAGTCTACAATCCATTTTGAGTTAATTGTACAGAATCCAAAGAATTTAATAAAGTCACCTATATATCTTGCTACTTTTGAATATTTTGATTATGACAATCCTATATAATTTTTTTCATGTTTATTGTGCTTCATATTCTTTAAGCCTCAATAATCTACAGCTTTATATTTTGCTTCAAATAAAAAAATTATTTCTTCAAATATCTTTCTGTCTCTTCTACTTTTTAAATTTCCTTTTACTTTGTGTTTTAATTTCAAATTGCCTTTATTAATATGTCTTCAAGTGCACTAGTCTTTTCTTTTGGAATGTCTATATATATAATTCCCCATTTTACAGGACAAATTGTTACAAAAGCAATCCTTTCTCTACTGAATTGCCTTTACACTTATATCAAAAAAATTAGTTCTTCATATGTATGCATAATATTATTTGAGGGTCTCCATTGCGTTCCATTGATCTTTTATCTATATTTGCTACAATACCACATTTTCTTAGTATTGTTGCCTTATAACGACATGTGAAATCAGGTAGTATTAACTCTACAACTTTGATTTTTTTTTCAAAAATGTTTTGGCTATTCTAGGTCCATCAAATTTCCATATTAATTTTATAATCAGTTTATTGATGTCTACAAAAAAATGACTGTTTGGATTTTGATTAGAATTTTATTTAATTTGTAGATTAATTTTAGAAGTATATCTCGACACTATTAAGTCTTCCAGCTTAAGAATACTATATAAATGTATACTGTGCATGTATGTGTGTGTGTATATGCATATGATATATATTTATATGTAATTTTAGGTCTTTAATTTCTCTCAGCAATATTGCATAGATTTTTGGTGTACATATATAAAGAACTTTCAAATCTTTTGTCAAAATCAACCTTATATGATATATTTGTATGCCTTTTTGAATGGTATTTATAAATTTAATTTGCAATATTCATTATTAATAGGTAGAAATGCAATTGATTTCACTTATGCATCTTGTATCTTGAAACTTTGCTGTACTCACTCATTTGCTGTAGTAGCTTTTTGGTAGATCTAACTGAATTCTCTGCATACATAATCATGAGGTCTGAAAATTGAGACAGTTTATTCACTCTTTCCCATTTAGATATCTTTTTTACTTCTTTTTTGTACCTCATTGTTCAAGTTAGAACATCTAGTACAAATTGAATAGAAGTGATGAGAGCAGACATCCTTGTCTTGTTCCTGATTTTAAAAGCAAAGACTTCAGTACTTTAAAGATGTTACACTATCTTTTCACTTGTCTTTGTTTCTAAAAAGAAATCTGTTTTCCTCATCTTTGCTCTTTTGCATATAACATCTTTTTTTTCTCTGGCTCACATTAAGCTTTTCTCTTCTTTATTGCTTTTGAACATTTTGATTATGACAGTCCTATATAATTTTTTCATGTTTATTATGCCTCATGTTCTTTAAGCTTCCATGATCTATGACTTTATAGTTTCAAATTTTAAAAATTACCATTCTTTCTTCAAACATTTTTCTGTCTTCCACTTTTAAAATTTTATTTTACTTTGTGTTTTAATTTAATATTCTTTTCATTAATATGTTTTCAAATGCACTAAGCTTTTCTTTTGCAATGTCTAATCATCATTTCTTCCCACCCAATGAGTATTTCCTCACAGACATTGTGGGTCTCTTATCTAGAACTTTAAGTTGGCATATCTATATCTGTGTAGCTTGCTATGTAGCTATATATCTAGCTAGGTGGCTATTATCTATCTATATATCCCATATCTCTACTTAACTTTTTGAGCTTATGGGATGCAGTTGGAATAACTATTTTAATGTTTTGGTCTGTTAATTCTAACATTTTGAGAGCTCTGGTTGATTTTGATTACTTGACATTTTCCCCTCATAATTAGTCATATTTTACTACTTCTTTCAAGCCTGATAATTTTTGAAAGGATGCCAGGCACTATACGTTTTGCCTTGTTGAGTGCTGAATATTTTTTATTACAATAAATATTCTAAGCTTCGGGGATTCAGTTAAGTCACTTGGAAACAGCTTGATATCTGTGTGTCTGCTTTTAAGATATGTTAGCCAGAACCAATACAGCATTCAGTCTAGGATGAATTATTTCACACTAATTAGGCAAGATCCTTTTCATACTCTATCTAGTGACATACGAATCATGAGTTTGTCGAATTTAGCTGGTGGAAACAGGAACTAATCTTGGTCCTGTTGGAGTACCTGGCATTTTTGCCTCTAATCCTTTCAGGTGGTGATTCTTTCTTAGCCTTAGGTAGTTGCCTCATATGCATTCCCTTGAACTCAGCTGAATACTTCCTAACACTCCTCTGCAGTTCTTAAAGAGTTCTCTCTCTGTATATGTGTGCACAGCTCTCTCCTACCTACTAGTCCTGAAAACTCTAGCTACTCTGATCACTCTGAATTCTCAGCTGTGTCCTCTCACCTCAGGGAGTCCACTGAGATCTGCATGGGTTTCTCCTCTTTGCTAGTGCCTGTAAACTCTCTTAAAACAGCAAGCTGGGGCAATCATAGAGCACAATTTGATTGTTTCTTGTCTCTCAGGGATTACAGTCCTTTATTGCCTGGTATCCAGTTTATTGAAATGTTTGTTCTAATAATTGCGCTTCCAGTTTCTGGTCTGGAAAGGCACTTAGAAGTCACCACTCCAACCTACCAACAAGGAAAATGCTTAACAATTTTTTTAAAAGTAGCAACTTTCCTTACATCCATTAGAGAAGTAAGGTCATAAGACAAACCACTGTTAGATAGAGGTATGTGCCGATACAGACAATCATAACTTACTGAAGCAGAAATCCATGAGCAGAAAGTTCCATGGGAAACAGCTGGGAATGTCTAACTGTAATGAACAAATTTCTAGGGGATCGATGTCGACAAATGTGAGTTAAACCTCCAAGGAGCCCTAGTCACAGAGAGGTCCCACACTTTCTTAAGTTTTTACCTGCGGGAGCTCTACTAGGTCCTCACAATTAATATGAAAAAAAAAGTCATGTTTTCAACAGGAGAAAGGGAAATTAATCATGTTGAAATATTTCTGAGCATTCTGTTCTTTTTAACAAGCTCTGGCCTCAGGAGAAATTATTTTCCAGAGTCCAACCTGCTAGGGTTTTATCAGAGCCTAACCTACCTGAGTGAAGGGAAATAGCCAGCTACAGCAGGCTCTAGCCCTCCATGTGTTGTAAATATAATACCCAACTCCAGCCCCTTTTAGCCATTCTGTGCCATCTAAAGGGAGGTGGTGACTGAGGAGCACTATTAACATTCACAATCCAGGGACACTGGCTCATTGAAAAGTTCAGACCTAATTATAGGGATATAGAACACTTTTTCTCTTTCCATACCTTATGCCACATTATTAAAGGGTTATTTTCAAATTTCTTTCATGTAGTCTATTATGTTCAGATTTTAAGAAAAAATTACAAGGCTTAATAAAAGGCAAAAAAACACAGTTTGAAAAAACTGAAGAAGAATCAAAGCCAGAATAAGAAATGGCCATGATGTTGGAATTATTAGGCCAGAAATTTAAAACTGTAATTAAAATGCTAAATGCTCGAATGGAAAAAGTAGACAACATGAAAAAACAGGTGGAAAATGTATGCAGGGAGATGAAATAAAAGAGATGCTAGGGACCAAAAATATTGTAATAGAAACAAAGAATGCCTTTGATGAGCTAATTAGAAGACAGCGTATGGCTGATGAAAAAAATCTCTGAGATTGAGAATATGACAATAGAAATATCCAAAATTGAAAAACAAAGATAAAAAAAAAAGACTGGAAAATGCAGAACAGTATATCCAAGAACTGTGGGCCAACTACAAAAAGTGTAGCTGTGAAAACCCTAACACATAATTGGAATACCAGAAGAGGAAGACAGGAAGAGATAAATGGAAGCAATATTTGAAGTAAATATGAATTTCCCCAAATTAATGTCAACTACCACACATTCAGAAATCTCAGAGAACACCAAATGAGATAAATGCAAAACAAACAACCTACAAGTAGTCATATCATATTAATGAAAAACAAAACAAAATTTTGAAAGAAGCCAGAGGAGGGAAAAAAAAATCTTATCTGAAGAGGGACAAAGATAAAAATTACATCTTACCTATCCTCCCAAACCATGCAAACAAAATGAGATTAGAGAGAATTAATTAAAGCATAGAGAAAAAGAAGAACAACAATAATAAAAATAAAACCCACAAGACTAAAATTTTGTCTGCAAAACTATCCATCACAAGTAAAGGAGAAATGAAGACTTTCTCATAAAAACAAAAATATGAGGGAATCTGTTGCTGGTAAATGTGCCTTGCTAGAAATGTTGAAAGGAATTTTTCAGAGAGAAGAAAAATGACATAGGTCAGAAAATAAGATCTATATAAAGAAAGGAAGGGCATTGGAGAATGAACGCCTGAAGGTAAAATAAAATCTTACATATTTTTTCTTGTTTATCTACTAGATCATATTCAAATTATAGTAGAAACAATGTGTTCAATTATGTATGTGTATATAAGCTTATGCATATATTTTCTTATGTAAAAATAAAATCAGTGATACCAATGAATCAATTATGTAAGGGATTAGAGAAAGGAAATAAGAATATTTTGTTATTGTAATTACACTGACCTTGAACTGATATACAGTAGTCTCCTTTTATCTCTGTTTTCAATTTCTGTGGTATTGAGGTGACAACGTGCTATCAGCCCTTGCTCACTCTGGGCGCCTCCTCAGCCTCGGCGTCCACTCTGGCCACGCTTGAGAAGCCAGCCCTTCAGCCCGCCGCTGCACTGTGGGAGGCACTCTCTGGGCTGGCCGAGGCTGGAGCCGGCTCCCTTTGCTTGCCCGGAGATGTGGAGGGAGACGCGCGGGCGGGAACAGGGGCTGCGCGCTGCACTCGCAGGCCAGCGAGTTCTGGGTGGGCGCGGGCTCAGCAGGCCCCGCACTCCGAGTGGCCGGCAGCGCCGCCGGCCCCAGCAGTGAGGGGCTCAGCACTCGGGCCAGCAGCTGCGGAGAGTGCGCTGGGTCTCTCCCGCAGTGTGGGCCCGCCCACAATACGCTGGAATTCTCGCGGGGCCTCCGCCGCCTACCTATGGGGCAGGGCTCCAGACCTGCAGCCCGCCATGCTCAAGCCACCACCCCTGCGCTCCCCTTCCCCCTTCCCCGCCCCTCCCCCACCGGCTCCCGCACGCCTGAGCCTCCCCAACGGGCGCCCTCCCCTGCTCCGTGGCGCCGGGTCCCATCGACCGCCCAAGGGCTGAGGAGTGCCGGGCGCTGTGCTGGAGGGGCAGCTCCACCCGCAGCCCCAGCATGGGATCCACTAGGCAAAGCCAGCTGGGCTCCTGAGGCGGTTGGGAACTTGGAGAACTTTTGTGTCTAGCTGGAGGATTGTATACGCACCAATCAGCACTCTGTATCTAGCTAATCTGGTGGGGACTTGGAGAACTTTAATGTCTAGCTAAACGATTGTAAATGCACCAATCGGTGCGCTGTGTCTAGCTCAAGGTTTGTAAACACACCAATCAGCATTCTGTGTCTAGCACGAGGTTTGTAAATTCACCAATCAGTGCTCTGTGTCTTGCTAATCTTGTGGGGACTTGGAGAACTTTTACCTCTAGCTAAAGGATTGTAAATACACCAATCAGCACTCTGTGTCTAGCTCAGGAATTGTACATGCACCAATCAGGACCGTGTCAAAACAGACCAATCAGCTCTCTGTAAAATGGGCCAATCAGCAGGATGTGGGTGGGAATAGGGAGTAAAGGCCGGCTGCCCCAGCCAACGGTGGACACCACCTCGGGTCCCTTTCCACACTGTGGAAACTTTGTTCTTTAGCTCTTTGCAATAAATCTTGCTGCTGCTAACTCTTCTTGCTGCTGCTAACTCTTCGGGTCCACATTGCCTTTATGAGCTGTGACACTCACCTCGAAGGTCTGCAGCTTCACTCCAGAGGCCAGCGAGACCACGAACCCACTGAGAAGAATGAAGAACTCCAGACTGGAGGAACGAACCACTCCAGAGGAGCCGCCTTAAGTGCTATAACACTTACCGCGAAGGTCTGCAGCTTCACTCCTGAAGACAGCGAGACCACGAACCCACCAGAAGGAAGAAACTCTGAACACGTCCGAACATCAGAAGGAACAAACTCTGGACACACCATTTTTAAGAACTGTAACGCTCACCGCGAGGGTCCGTGGCTTCATCCTTGAAGTCAGTGAGACCACGAACCCACCAATTTCGGACACCATATTAGTTACCTGCTGTCATTCACCACCTGGAAATATTAAAAGGAGAATTCCAAAAGTAAACAGTTCATCAGTTTTTAATTGCGTTCTATTCTGAGTAGTATGATGAAATCTTCCACCATACTACTCTTTGCTGCTCTGGATGTGAACTATCCCTACATCTAGCACATCCATGCTGTCAGGCACCTAACCAGCCACTTATTTTCCCTTAGACTCTGTCTCAGTTACTGGATCGACTGCTGCACATAGTTGATATAGGGTTTGGTACTATCTGTGATTTCAGGCAATACCTATGGGTATTGAAACATATCCCCTGCTAATGAGGGGGGACTACTGTAGTATTACTTGGAAGTGGACTTAGATTAGTTAAAAATATGCAAGCTGTAGTGCAAAAACTAAAAAAAACAAAAAAGTATAGTTGGTATGCCAAGAAAGGAGGGAAAATAAAAGGATATAGAGTGCCCAATTAAAACCACAAAAGACAAAAACAAAAACAAGATCAACAAATAGAAAACAGTAACATAATCCAACTATATCAATAATCACTTTAAAAATTTAATGGTTTAGATATTCCAATTAAAAAAGAGATTGTTAGAATAAGGCAAAACAAAACTCAAATCTATATTGTCTACAAAATAGCCACTTTCAATATAAAGACATGTAGCTTAAATTAAATAGAGGGAGAAAGAAATACTATGGTGACACTGATCAAAAGAAAATGGAAGTAGCTATATTAATTTTATACATAGCAAACTTCAGAGCAAGAAAAGTTATCAGGAATAAAGATGAGCATCATATAATAATAAAGGGGTTAATATTTCAAGAAGACATAAAAAAATGTGTGTGCCTAATAATAAAAGATCAAAATCTGTAAGGCAAACATGTATAAAACTTCAAAGAGAAATAGATAAATCTACTATTATAATTGAGGACTTTAATACCTCTCTATCAGAGGTGGACAGATCCTCTAGGCAGTAAATCAGTAAGGACACAGTTGAACTCAACAGTGCTATTAATCAATGGGATATTATTGACATCTATAGACTACTTCATCCAACAACAGCAGAATAACATTCTTCTTAAGTTTACATGAACTAGTCACTAAAATACACCACTTTCTGGGCCATAAAACACATCTTATTAAATGTTTAAAATAATAGAAATCACATGGTGTCTGCTCTCAGACCACAATGGAATTAAGCTAGACATCAGCAGTAGAAAGGTAGCTGGAAAACCCCAAATTATGTTCCTTGGTGTTCTTACAAATGAATTCAAAACTTACGTTCACATAAAACTTATACATGGATGTTTGTAGCAGCTTTATTCGTGATGGCCCAAACTTGAAAGCAACCAACATAACCTTCAGTAGGTAAATGGATAAATAAACTTGGCACATACAGACAATAGAATAGTATTAAACCCTTAATAAAGGGGAGGGGAAAGAAAAATAGGGCTAGCAAAACATGAAAAGACATGGAGGAAACTTAAATGCCTGCTACTACTTGAAAAAAGCAATATGAAAAGGCTATATACTGTATGATTCCAATATGTAACATTCTGGAGAAGGCAAAACTATGAAGTAGTAGAAAGATCAGTGGTTGGCAAGGGGTTAGGAGGGAGGGAGGGATGAATACGTAGAAGACAGGAAATTCCCTAACCATTAGGTCAGGGAAAATATTATTTAGGATACTATAATGGTAGATGTATGAAATAATAAAGTTGTCCAAACCCATAGAATATACAACTCCAAGGGTGAACTTTAAATGTAAGCTATGGACTTTGGGTGATAATAATGTCAATGTAGGTTCATCTATTGTAATAAGTGTACCACTGTGGTGTAGGATGTGGATGGTAGAGGAGGTAATGTGCATAGGGGAGGACAGGAGGTATATGGGAACTCTTTGTATTTTCTATTCAATTTTGCTGTGAACCTGATACTGTTCTAACAATAAAGTTTATTCATTAAGCATACAAGAAAAGTATTATTTTGTTTGTCTGTTTTGTTTTTTTCAGACCAAATGGTAAATCCAGTTTGCTCTATCTGATGGAACTTTTCCCAACTACTTTTGAAATTATGTAAAATCTAATCTGGTACCAGCATCAAAGAAATCAGATACATCAAAACACTCCTGCAACAATTAAGGAAGATGTGGTTACATACCTTGAAGAGCTAAGAGCTACTGACTAGAGCTAAGTTTTCTGTGTGCAAAAGCAAAAAAGGACACATGATACTTTATTTACATTGATTTTATTTTTAACTTAAATTTAAAGTTTATATAATGGATGTTTATTTTTAGCTAGTGAAGTATGACTTGGTATTCTCAAATAAATATCTCTTTGTGTTCCTATAAATAAAATAAGGTTTCTTTTTGCAAGTTTTAATATATTGTGGAAAAATAATTCTTGGATCAGAAACATTATTGACACAGACCAATGTTTGACATGGTCTACTCTTCTCCCTGACCCCAGTAAGTTTGTAAATACTTGTTACATGTGAGATTTTAAGGTAAACTCATTATGTGTGTATTTGCATTCATGAGTCTATGGGCACGTACTTGTTTATATTCTCATAGAAATTTATTTTCTTTTTCATTTTACTTGGTGACAAATATAGTCAATACTGCCTGTATGAAAAAGAAAAAGAGTACCTAATTTGGATTGACAAGGAAACTCACCAGAAATTCTGTTCTTAAAACAATGAAGTTTATCCTAGTTTACGGAGTATTTAAAAGTAGGCTATGATGAGAGGAACAATACTTGGAGAGAAATACTGGATGGATGCACAGTTTGAGGTACTCAAAAATTTATCAATAGCTAAAACCAGGTCATTTGAGGATCATGCTCTCATTATAGCTTATACCGATTGAAGACTTTTAATGAATTTGAGAATGAGTTGAGATACTGATTCTTATTGTGAAATATTATAGATATGCTTACATGAAACTCCATATTGCTTATCATAAAGATGTTATTTAAAATATTGTACATTAATTGCATAGTGTCCTACTTATGAGAGCTCAGAAAAAAACTTTTCTTGGGTCCTAACGTCCAGGAGAGCTGGCCACTGATTTGTTTTTATAATTATGGATAATATTAATCTTTTTATTGATCAGCATCATCTCTCCACTCAGGCTGGTAAAAATCTGAAAGAAAAAACTGCAGCTCAACAGCAACAAAAAAAGCAGAGATATTTTGTGATATTGGCTTTACCTTAAACATTTATTTTAATGAATTTGCCTTATTTCTTGAATATATAAATGAAGATATTTCCCAGATCCACTTTCTCAGGGCAAAATCACTCAGTCTCACAAACTTCTGGATTATTGATGACTGAAATACATTGCTTAAATCACTCTCTAGAAATTTCCAGTGGTCAAGGAGAGCCACTTTACCCCAAGTCTATGCTTCCTTCAAAGGCAACACATATGAAATAATTACTCAATGCAAGAATATAAAGGCTTGAATAGCATCTCTGCATTTCGGATACTTTGAAAAGTTTCCCCAGCTTTTGAGCTCCTTACGGGTTTAGATGAAGTGTTTCTTTTAGCATTTCAATAAGAGTACAGCTTTTCCCTCTACAGTCCTCTTTCCTTCACCTCACCACAGATGTTGATGCTAAAGCCATTCACCAATAAAATTTCTCCATATAAATATTTGTCTTAGAACCTGTTTTCTCATACCTGACATTTGCATAGGGTTTGAGAAGCAGTGTCTAAAATGAAATGTTGAAGATGGCTCCCTGGCTGGCAGGCTGACACTCCAAACTCCAATCCTTGCTAGAAGGTGGAAGGAGTACCGTCATGTGGGAGCAGCAAACCCATCAAAACATTCACCAGGTCACATTCAGATGGATTGCCAGTAGAAGGAAATATAGTGGTAAATGCAATGATTCAGATGTTGTAGAAGTAGAAGGAAAACAGTAATTTAAGAATGAATAAATTCGGTGAAAATTTCTGGAAGTAGTCAATTAATTGGTGAAGAACAATGAAAGATTGTTGGTGAAAATTCAACAAATAAAGGTTAAGTGTAAATTCCAGAGGACTTCTTTGGTTTCATACAAAGACACTCTCCTTTCCTGCAGCCAGAGTCTCATGAAAGTTGAGAATCAGGTAGAAAACTTAATGATAGGATTAGTAGAGCTGCAGAGAAGGCTGAATTCTCAATCCCAGCAGGTTTGCTATGCCAAAGTCAGAGCCCTGATAAGGAAGAATTGACATTCTGAGGCTGAGAAGGGGATACACAAATCCATGCAATCAATGCACCCAAAGGTCTTAAAATCCCCAGACTTCACAGAACCCTCTGGGTCTATGGAGGTCTTCTAGCTGTAAATCTTGAAGCCCCTACTTCCTGGTTTTGCTTTTTTATTATAAAGCACCTTCTGCCACACACAGTGACATATATTCCCTTAGGATCTACCACTGCTATCCGCCCAGGCCACAGGACAACTAACTAAGCTTAAGTCTCAACATAACTGAGGAAGAAATGCACTATTTCTTCAGGACCGCCCCCCGCCCCAACATGTACTGTCCAAGACTAAAAAAAATGATTGGGTATGAGATCCTGAGGATTCCAGTTAAGATAAAATATCATTAGCGAGATGGGAAAACTTTTCCATGATACAGGGTTGAACATGCTGGCAAAGGCACTGGAAGGTGGTCCTAACAGCCTCCTAGGATACGTCTTATTAGCTTACAGAAAAGGACCGCCAGAACTGCTGTGACAGAAAATAAAAGACAAAAAAGACTCAGAGAAGTACATATGCTAGAGAGTACATACTACATAAAGGAAGGAATCCCATCAGATTCCTGAATTAAAGTCCTAGAAGATACTTTACCTATGTGATCAGCAACAGACTGAAGTGTCAGCATCATTGAAAAACTTAGAGGTAGACTCTTCCGAGGCCAAGGATGAAAAATAGAAGTGTTATCAGAAAACTGTCATGACCTACTCCAATAGAACAAGAGAACCTACAAAAACAAATATAGAGACCGGATGTATTTACTTGACTAATTGTCAGAAGCTGGGTTTCAAAATTATCATAATGTATAATGTGGCCCTGGAGGTAGCCAGAAGAACCAAATCCACAGTGTGTCATCCATATATTTAATAGAGCATAGCTTTTCTAGGGGAAAGAAAGATGGACATACAAAAAGAGTGTAGCTTAACTTATACAATTAAAAAAATTAAGTTTGGAAGACAAGAGACTGAGGGCTATTATTCCAACGGAAAGTCATAAAAGCTTTTCCAATTTTCAAAGGAGAGGTCAGACTTTCAGAAAGAAAAAAAACCTGCAATATTTCCTTCTCCTTCTCTTTCTCCTCATTTGCTTTCTCTTCTTTCTTGTCTTCCTCCTCTCCCTCTTCTTTTCCTCCTCTTTTCCTTGCTGTCATTATTATTACTTTTTTAACTCTGTTCACCTAACATGTCTTAGGTATGATACTTTTCCTGTCCTTGCTTCTATATATCTACTTCTCAGCAACTCTCACCTGAAGCTTTTATACCTTATCCTCAAACATTTATATTGTTTCCCATCTGACAGTTCTGCTTTCTCTGTCCTCAGTAATTTATCCTCTACTCCAACCCACTGATCATAATGTAGTTAGCTTCAGTCTGATTTCCATCAGCTTTTCTTTCCAAACCTCTCAATCCAAATGATATGTTTAAAGTCCTTTCCATTTTTTCTCAAAGCCCCGGTCTCCAGGCTCTTCTCTATCCTTCAGTTTCCTCCTGCCTATTCCCTATGATCCTTCCTTTGATCCTAGTGTCTTGTTTATTGCATCTGGCCTTTGCATCCTAGTCATTTAGGTTTTATCGATTCTTGCCCTGCCACATCATTACCGTAGCACTGCACCTTTTTCTGAAAACCTTGTTTCCTCTGTTCTATGTATTTCTCTTTCATTGATCAGACTCAGCTTTCCAAGAAGAGGGCTTGGACAAATATTAAAATGCTATCCCTGTGTTTCAGTGGTGAAATTCCAGGGCAGTAAAGATAAATTTGAAAAGGGAACCAAGGCAAGGCAAGATGCAAATGTGATGGTATAGGATGCATCATCACACCAGCCAACTCTGAGCACAGGCACGTAGTAGGCATTTTTGCTCAGCACCTGGGACACCACCCGAAAGAGTTGCATGAAACAGTACCATCTTAGAGTAATCCAAATATGGTAGAAAGAAATATGATTCAATCTGGCAAGCTTCATTTTATTTCCTGCTTTCTATTGCTCAATATCTCATGCCACCGGATACTAAAATTTGTACTCCTCTAGGTTATAGCCTCTAACCACTCAACAGCTTATCAGGAGGACAAATCCCATGCCCTGATGCCTTTCCAATGAATGTAGGTGCTGTGTGAGTGTAGAGTCCTGAGAGAGAGAGGAAAGAGGGAGAGAAGGATAGGGAGAGGAAAGAAAGATAGGAGTTGGATGAGAAAATCTGAAATGATGCTCGAGACAGGTCAAATATACATATCAAAATTTCCCATGCTTCTCTCTAGATTCTTCTTTACATATGACTGATTTGTGCAACAATAGAAGAAATGCATAACGGATAAAAATTGTGAAAATAAAGTCCTGGAATTCTTCATATTTTAGAAGTGTCATTGAATCTACTTTCATAAATAAGCATAACTGAATAAAATTTGTCTTAGCACACATGCACACACACAAACTCATACACTCGTACATAAACAAAATTAAAAGTACAAAGAAGAAAGAATAAAGTGGTTATTTCAATACATACTTGTGTCCATAAACTCTCACAAAAAGTAAACATCTGACTCTTGGCAAAATGTTCACATAAACATAATATGGTTTGATTGCATTTAAAAGCTAACCAACTAGTATTAAAATTACCACCAAAGAAATTTTTCTCTGACACCTAACAACTTAGGACAACAAAATACTGTGTGTATTATAACAAGATAACTTTATAATATTATGGATATACAAGCTTAAATTTTGACATGGATGTAGGAAGTATTGTGGGATTATCTAGGAATGTACTACAGCCTGCTAGAAAAATGACTGGTTGGAAAACCTTGATGAAGTTAGAAAAGTGAGTAAAAATAAGAATAGTATGCAGTAGGAATACATATTTAAGTCCAAGAATAGGTTCTTGAGAGTTCTGGGAGTCTCCAAAGCTGTTTTTTTGTTTTTTTTTCTTTCTCACTGACCTGCAGAAATAAACCAATGGTAGTAGAATTTGAAGTCTGGCATTAAATTGGGATTCTAGCAACTATGGTCAGCTACTACTATAAGAAAATATTTCTTTCTATTCTTTCTTTCTTTAGTCCTACCAGTAAGGTGAGGCCATCAGTTTAGGAGGCAGAAAAAGGAGTAGCCCACCAGTATTTAGCATTTTCTCTTCACAATCATTCAAAGATGGACATAGCATACCAATGTATCATCTGAATGTGTCATAAGTGATTTGCATTTAGTCAACATTTTTATTCACATACATGCATTTTGCTATGAAATAATACAATGTGAACAAAAAGGCAAGTTATCTAGAAATATAAAGGAACTAAAGAAACTCTGAAACATATGTTCCTCCTCTTGTCTTCCCTATCTGATATTAATAGTGCCAACTTGTACGCAGTTTTAAGCTAAGAAGCTTGGTTGTCAACCAACCAACATTTCAAAGAAAGAGCATCACCTTCTCTTGTTCATCACATTGTTCCCAAGCCCACATTGACCAAAAACAATGTGTTTGAGTAAATAAAGAAAGAGTATCACAGCTGGCAGATAAATGTTATATTATGGTCCTGATTATATGACTGTAATAGACAACAGTTTCAAAACCTGAGTTTAATAAAAATAGGAAAAGAAGCAAGCTGAAATTATGTATGTAATTCACGTATGTGAAACTGTGAAAAATTCTTGTGTGGATGAAATAATACAGGTACATGTGCGTGGGTGATTTAGTATAAATTCCTACTTAAAACCTCGTTGTAACAAATTAAGGTAGCAACTAGACTAGTAACGCATTATATGATATCTGTGCTGCCAAAAAAATTAAAAATCTATCTTATTGATATTGCTGTATTGTACAAGTCAGCTAGAGGAGACTGCTATCATTTTAAATAAAAATACTAGCATTACTAGTGTGACAAGAGATTCAGCACTATTTATGACTCCAGATTTAGACACAAAATTATTGCTTAGTTTTAGTTTCTATGACTTCTACAAGCATTAAGCTTGATTGAACCTCATATTACAGTACTGACAAATGAATCAGCAGGCAAAAATATGTTGATGTGAATCAAAATTACTGTATATAAGACAACATTTTGCCTTCACATTCAGTCTAGCATTCAGAAATAACACTTGCTTTAATTTGGAAATGATTTACAGTACCAAAACATATAAGATAACCTTGGAAATAACTGTGGAATATATTTAGTCACATACCAAACATTTATTACTCGTTGACTATAACAATATTCCATACTTACAATGGATGCCTGACAAATATCACAGGTCAGGGTATTCTGGTCCTCTTGCCACCAAAAATACAATTTTCAAAATATTTAATTGCTTACAACCAGGCAAAGCATATGAACATATTTGCATAAAAATTTGAATAATGGCCAAAACCCATGATGCTCAACAGAACATTTTTAGAAGTAACAGAGTTCAACTGGGGAGTTGTTAACTGGTCAGTATATAGTATCATTACATTGTCTATATTCTGTAATAACTATCATAACAGGGAGGATAAGTTACCATACATAATAGATCTAAAAATAAAATATATCCTGGGATAAATTCAATAAGGAATATGCAATTTTTTTCTGAAAAAAGTACAAAGCATTATTAAGGGATATAAAAGACAAATAAATGGAGAAATATTCCTAGTTCATGAATAGGAAAATGCCACATTATTAAAATGGCAATTCTCTAAATTAAGCTAAATCATTTTTTATTTCTAAAATAATACATTGAAGTCTTTATTGCTGTTGCATAATATATTCATGTATATATAAATTCATAAAGATGTGAGAACAGCAAAAATTTGAACAAAAAAGAACATGAAAGCTAAATGTTACATTGGCAAATGTAAAAAGGCATAATGAAGATAAGTACTTGCAAATAATGTAACACTATCCAAAATATAAAAAGAAATATTAATAGAGCAGAATATAAATTCTTCAAAATGTACCCAGGTATATCTGTTTAATATATTATAAAAGTGGCACTGTAATTAATAAAGGACAGATTACACAATAAGAAAATATTTCTGAAAATTTGGAAAAACAAATATCTTGCCTCTTTTATGTACATTTCAGATGGTTTAAAAGATTAACTAAATAAAGGATAAAACACAAATAAAGATTTCTTCTCACTGTAAGGAAGTATTTACTTGATATTTAGGTTTGGTTATAAACTTACTGGAAAAATCAAGAAATTATTTTAATGTATTATATGTTAGCATAAATAACTAAAATATGTATAAATCTAGAAATATAATAACATTTAAATTAAAAAATTACAAAAGTAGTAGTTACATAAATGGTTTACATATATAAATAATTCTTATAAAACTAAAACTAACAAATATTTCTAGTTCTGAAAAATGTTTTTTAATTTAAAAAGACTAGAAAGCTATACAACAAGAAATTAAACAGTAGCATTTTTTCTCTTTCTTATAACATCTCGCTGATTCTCTGCAGCCAGGAAAGTTTCTCCACTTTTAAATATTTGTATGATTAGATTACATTGTGGATAACTATATTTTTTTTTTGTTGCTGCCATAAGAAATGACTACAGATTTCATGGCATAAAACAGCTCAGATTAGTTGTCTGACCATTCTGGAGGTGTGGAGTCTGAAATCAAGGTGTCAGCAGGGTTACCTTCCTGTTCAGGGCTCTATGGGAAATTCTGTTTCTTCATCTTTTTCAGCTTCTAAAGGCCATCTGTCTTCCTGGGTCATGGGAACATGAAGGAAAACTTCAAAGCCACCATCTTATGATCTTCAAATCTCTCTCTAACCTTGACTTCTCTTCCACATGTTTCTCCCAGTTTAAATGATGCTTGTTATTCTATTGAGCCCATCCTGATAATTCAGCACTATCTATCTCAAGGTCCTTAATTGTAATCACATCTTTAAAGTCCTTTCTGCCATCTAAGGTAATATATGCAGAGGCCCCTAGGATTATGTCATGAACATCTTTTGTGGAGGGGCATTATCCTGCCTTTCACAATTTGTTGAGTTTGTTAGTGTGTTTAAGGATGATTTTAAATATATTTTTGTACTTTTTGGTCTTTCTATTTTATCAAAAGAAAACACAAAATTACATAACTAAAAAAGAAAGAGGAATAGAAAAAGAAAGAGGAAAAGAAAAAGAAAGAAGAGAGGAATAAATTTAAATGAAAAGATTGCCTAGATTGAATGTTCAGAGATTTACATTCTTAATGTTACCTCTTCTGGTAACTCATTGCATTTCTGTGGACAAGTCACTTCAAGGCTCTGCTATTTAATTTTTTAACGTGAAATTAGGAAATTTGAACTTTAAAGACTTAGAACTTTCAGCTGAGGACTAAAACCTTGGACTAGGATTCAATGCCTTCATGTGTTTGTTCCAACTGGAATGGCAGTGTAGGCAAAAAAGCAAGCTAATGTTCTCCAAGAGAACACCAAAGGCACATTTAAAGTTGTTGCTAAGTCTGTTGGGTATTATTTGGAATGCTTTCTCCATGTTTTCCATGTTCACTTGTATTGTGGATAATTAAAATCCACACATAGTACAAAATTCATTTATTCAGATGACACAGAGCAACTACTTTATGTCAGACATGGTGTTAGGGGATTGCTTCTATGTCATAAGTTGCATGGATACAGCAAATGTACACAATTCAAAGATGAGCACTAGGAAAAAATAGACATATTTCTGTCCCACAGAAAGCTTCAACTTTAGTTGAGCAGAAGGAATAATCACCTCTTTGAAGGCAAAGATTGTTTTATTGGGTTATTTAAGCCCATTTCCTACTAGCATTCTGCCTCCATTTCCTTTCTGGACCTCTTTTGGCATGGTTGATAGTTAACAGGAAGTCCTATGCTACTTTCTTGACTAGCTTTGGTCTTATAAGTGAACCAATGGTTCACTAAGCATATCCACTTGGATGTATAAAAGGAAGCCATAACTCAACATTTCCAGAATACATTCATTCAGTCATGATGTTTCTCTTCAACGTTAATCTTTCTGTATTTCTAATTTCAGTGAATTACACGATAATCAATCCTCTTATATAGCCAGAACACTACGAGTCATTCTTGATATTTAATCTCCCTTATCCATTCAATTAGTCAGGGTACCAACTGGAAACAGATGGCACTCATATTAAAAATAATTCTAAAATATATTGATCATGGGAGTCTTTATAAGGGGTGGACAGGGTGCAGGGCTACCATGAGCAACAAGACAGTATTCTCGGTTCTTTATGACCTCTACCACAAAAAGAGTCTCTGGAATCCATATGGACAGTCTTGCAGATCTGCTGCCTTGAGAGGAGCAGTAATTTTGGTTGAGAATGCAGCCTTCCAAGGTGACCCTGCAGCGTGGTAATCAGAGGAATAAATAGACATACCTGATTGTCTTAAATCCTTGGTTTTCCTATTGATGCTTTCTATTAACTGGACCCAGTCAGAAACAAAAGACAAGAGAGTCATTGATGTGATCTGCACAGGTCAGCCCATAATGGATGAGGGGAGGGTAAAGAAGACAGGGAAGTGCATCCCAGGGAGGGAACGGAACAAGCGTAGTGCTGGGTGTCTTCTCTCTACCACCAAAGATTGCAAATATCTGTATTCAACCGCTAGCCTCCTCCTATCTTCCTGAATACCACCACCATCCTAGCACAACTATTATAATGCAATTTTTGATTTTTAAAATTGTTTCCTAATTAGTCTCTTATTATTCTGATCCCTCCAGCTAGACTAGAATGAGCTTCTCACAATGCATGTATAATCATGCCCCTCCCTATTTTAAAGACATCAGTATTTTCTTATTAGCATTAGAATAAAGATCAGAATCTTTAACATGCCTCTTCCTTGGAACACTCTCTTATTACTTCATTACCTATCTAACTCCTCATTTTCTGGCAGGTCTTTGTTTAATCCTCACTTCCTCTTTTAAGCTGTCCTGCTTTTTTGTGACAAATTCCCTTGTTATTGATATTCATAGCATGATCTACTTCTATATATAACATTTGTTATTCTTGTACTATGACAGGCATTTAAAGATTCTTGGTTTCTCCAATAGATACTAAAGCTGTAATTATATTTCTATTTGGCCTAATTTGTATCTTCTTTGTCTGGTATAGATTCTGGCATATAGTATAGATATAACAAATTCCTCTTGAATGGATGAATGTATTAAATAACACTTTATTTGCACCCCCTCCAACAATATATATTATGGATGTTGTTCACATTTGTGAGATACCTGCATAAAACCTGTGAGATTTTGACAAAACTACCCCAAATATCTTATCCTTCCCTCACCTATTTTTCAAAGGCCCAAGGATGAAGCTTGATGTTTTGCTAACATGAGTAAACAGGGTTGATTTAGATTGGACTGGGAAGAATGAAGCATGAGAGTTTAATAAGTAGGACATGATGGAAAAACAGAGTACTGAAAGATGAAAAGCTACTCTTGGTGTGTGTATTAGGTTCCTATTGTTGCTGTAAGAAATTACCACAAATTTGGTGGGCTAAGTCAATACAAGTGTCTTGTCTTAGAGTTCCAAAGTCCACAGTGGGTCTCACAGAGCTAAAACCAAAGTGTTGCCTGGGCTGCATTCCCTTCTGGAGCTTCCAGGAAATAATCCATTCCCTTGTCCTTTAGAGGTTCTGGAGACTGATTACATTGCTTGGTTCATGGCCTCCTTCCATCTTCAAGGCCAGCAACAGCATCATTCTCATCTCTGCTTCGGTGGTTACATCTCCTTTTCTGATTTCAAGTCACCCGTATCACTTTCAGTCATATAAGAAACCAAATATAAGAAATTTTGTCTTTATAATCCAGGATAATCTTTAAGCTTAATTACTTTTGTAAATTCCCTTTGCCATATAAATTAACATAGGTCCCTAGGATTAGGATGTGGACATCTTTGGTGGGTCATTTTCCATGCTTACTGCCTGGAAAATCTTAGGTAGTTTCAAAAATAATTTGGAGATCAGTTATAATGTTTGAGAACTATATGAAGATTAAGTGGAATAGAATGAAGGCCGTGATATATTACCCAGATCCCCATTCGGGAATGAAGGGCTTGTATTCGCAGCTGCAGCTGATGTTGCTGACAGGCAGTTCCCACCTGTAAACCCTCTTCGATAATTGATTTGCCCAGAAGTCTATCTCTTTTTCTAAGTAGCCTCAATCCAATGACTAGGTCATGTGGAGATACAGAATCCAGACCCTCTTGTTCCAACGTGACACAGATCTAAAGCGTCATCGCATCTTCAGAACTCCCAAGGAATCATATGAGTCTTGCTGAGAATGTGTCACTGCCTAATCTTCTTTCCCAGGAACTGAAACTGTAGCATTAACAAAACAAAACAAAACAACAATGAAAAAGACATAGATTGCAATTTCTGGGGACTTTTTTTTTGTTTTGCTTTGTTTTGAATTTTTACCTGTAGTGTTGGTGTTTATTCTACCAACATCTCTCACCATTTAGATGGTGTTTTATTATTATCTCAGCTGACTATAAACTAAACTTTACTGCTTGAACATATTTAAATATTTTAGTTTGTATATTTGTAGAACCTGCAACATGTTCATGGAAGTATCTCATAAGACATAAATAAAATATTATACATATGTATATACACACAAACATAATGCAGAAGGAGAGAAAAAGGGAGAGAGAGAGAGAAAAAAAAAAAGATGAGTCACACCTATTGCCAAAAAGTATCTGTGTCTGTGCTGGGAAGTTTGGAGAATAAGAATGAGAGGAGAGAAATCACTTTTAAAAAAAGAAAGAGAAAACTGCTAGTCACAATAGACTCTTGTTTAATATTCTAGCGGCTTCTCATTGTCATTAGAGTTAAAACATAATTAGTTTTCCTTATGGCTGTGAATACTTCATAACATGCAGCCTCAGCCTACCTCTCACATGACATTTTGTAAAGTTCCAGGGCATGCTCATGAATACCCATGCTCTCCTTCCATACCCTCAAACACATTAAGCATGTTGTCACCCCAAGGCCTTTGCACATACACTTTCCTCTTCTGGAAACACTGCCCTCTCTCTTCCTCCAATCTCAGTCCTGGTTTGGGCTATCCTCTATTTGTCATGAGGGTCTTAACTCAACTGTCACCTCCTCAGTGAAATCTTCCCTGACTATGTAATCTCAGACACGAACACATCACTCAGTTTTATTTTTTATGCATCATTTACCATTGTTTAAAATTGTCCTACTACTGCTTTCTTGCTTACCTCCTCAAAATACATATAAGATATTTTGCTGACCTCCAAGAAACTGGAGCCTAACAACCTGTTTGGCACATAGTGAATGCTTAACTAATGTTTGTTGAATGACAGAAGACAAAACTATGTCTCTTTTTCAACTTTACCTTTTGCATTCAGAAATGTGTAAACATCTTGCACAGCTGATAAACTTTCCAGAGCTCCCATACAGATATCTCGCCACCTTGTTTCAGAGAGGTTTTCCCTCTCCTCCACTTCTGGTACAATGGTGATGTTGAAGAGTCTTCAGCCATGATTTCTTCCATGAGACCCATTTTTGGTAACCTGCTGTATAGGATCCAAGTGATCCTAGAGCTGATAATCCTCAAAGCATTTTATCATGCATTTCTTGTTTTATAAATTGAGATGAATACATTTGAAATGATAGTAAATCATGGGGAAAGGGAAGACTGCATTAAGTAAAGGCAAGTGGATCAGGAAGACAATGGTATGAGACCTTCAAAGCCAGGTATGGTTTTAATATGAATGTGGAAGGAAAGCACGTAAGAAGGAAGGAAAAACAAAAAACAAAAAAACAAGACATATGTCTGGCAAAGTGAAGAATATGGACAGCAAAAGACATAAGCCTAATTATCATGGTATTCATTTAGTGGAGAAAATACACATAAAAATAAAAATCCATATAAGTACCAATCAGATGATTGTGGGCTTGGGTGTGACTAGTTAGGACTCTCATCTCCTTGAATAATAGCTTTAATCATCCTTGTAACTTGTAAATGTTCAATGGCTCACAAATGCCTATTATATAGACTGTTAATGGTGTCGAGTAAGGTAGAAGACAGAGATGTGATGGAGACATTGGAATTAGAGACTTCAATAATCTGTTACCAAGCTTTATGTGAAGATCTGGAGAGAAGGTGATATCAGCTCTTCCTTACTCTTTTTCCTCATCTCTGACTTTAAATTGTCCTAATTAGTTGTTCTGACAAATATGTTTCTATTTTTCCTTTATATATTTATGGATATAATGAACAATTTGTTTAACTTTCTACTTAGCTATCAGTCAATAGTAAGTAGGAAAAGGAGAAGTAATTTTTTTAAATATCCAAATACGGTATGATTAATTCCTTATTAATTTGAAAATCAGATTTTTCTTATGGTTTAGATGGTTTTGGCAGCCTGGTAAGTATGGCTCAGAATTCAAGATCAGTGTAAATATTAACATGTCAATAAAGATAAATAGCCTACCCATCAGACTGTACCTTAAACTGTATCATCAATAATAAAAGTCTTTATTTCTTTTGCAGTAGATTGGCCAAAGGAGAAGAGAAAGGCAACTGATTGAGAGGACTAAAAAACTTATGAAGAAGGTAGTAAATGATGATTAAGGATGACATTTTTATTCTATCTGTTTAAACACCAACAATAATAATAAAACAAATACATAAGAAGCGCCAATACTGACAAGGGTGTAGTGAAAATATGCTCTTATTTATCACTTTTGATAGTAAAAGCATTGGCTAAAAATTGCAGTATTAATGAAGAATTCTACATTCACTTTGTTTTTGCCATTCTTCTGAGAAATACCTTGAATTTATTATGATAATTATGAAAAATATAGAAAACGATGCAAGAACAGAGATGATAATCATTGTGCTAGCTATAATAGTCAAAATAGAAAATATACTAAATATTTTATAATCATTGAATAAGTTGAATTACGGCCCTGTCATCTTATAGATTATAAATGACCAATAAAAATACTTATAAATAATTTAAATGATATAAAGATTTCTTATAATATCGAGAAAGAAACTCTCAACAGCTATTTAATAGTAAATTAGCACTGTTTCATATGTGTCAAAATAAGAAACATGTAAAATATAGCAAATAAAAATTATAAGCCTAGTTTTATCAAACTTATGTTTGGATATGAAGATTATAAAATTATTTTTGTGCTTTCTTGCACTTAGTTTATTAATACCTTTGTGAAGATTACATGAATATATGTAATCTTGACAAAATTAAATGATATAATAATAATCATAGCCTTACAAGCAATTTAAAATCACAGTTATGTATATAAAAATAATTAACATGTATGATAACCTTTATATATTTTATTTAATCAGAAAAAACTCACTGGTTTATGATTTATAAATATTTTTAAGTCTCTAACTTGGCACATCAATGGAAAAAATCATTGCATTCCATTCATTTACATTCACATGTGATGCTAAACATATTTTTACTTTGTCTTTTATATTTTTAAATAATTTCATTTGAGTTTTTATAGAATAATTATAATTAATATATTAGTGGTTAGGTGAAAAATATTATGAAAATTCTTAGATGAAATTATTTTAAGTAAATAGTACCATCTTATGTTTTCTTTTTTAAAAATTAATTATGTAAATGATATTTTCAATTTCTCCTTTCAGTGTGTCTATAACACTTTTCTCTTTATCCTTGTTTAGAGAAAAATATTTTCCATGGTGCAAAAATTTTAAAAATAACATGAACTTGTATAAAACATGTTTAAATGAATAAAAGTATTTTTATTTCATTTGAGAATTCTTGAAGATAAAAGACACCGTGTTGCCATCAGAACTGTTATTATCTACAAAGACTGTATTGTTGAAGTGCATTAAAAAGAATTCTTTGGGATCTCTTTTTTTAATATATACTTAGGAGAAAAAGACTGCATGTATTGGAAATGTCTATTGTAGTTTAAAGAATATTGACATCCTCTAAAGAAAGAAGAACCAAAAAGATTTGAGTCAGAATACTCAACTTGGTGTTCAATATTAGAACAGAGGACAAATACATGTTCCCACTTTTTTAAAGTCTTTAAGATGTGTCTTTTCCTTTAAAAAATTATATTTGACAAAGTTCTGTATTTCATGGCAGGGGGAAAAAAAAGGCAAAGTACAGTAGTACCCCCCTTATCCATGGAGGATAGGGTCCAAGACCCTCAGTAGATGACTGAAACTGAGGATTATACTGAACCATATAAATATAATTTCTTTGTTATTGAAATACCAGGGCTTTGGTCTAGGTTCTGGTGCTTGCAACGCAAAAAGCCAATCACTGAGACAATGCATATTGCCAGGGAAGAAGGCTTTACTCAGCTGCTGCGCCGAGGAGACGGGAGATCAGTCTGAAATCCAGCTCCTCAACTAGCTGAACTTGGGGGGTTATATAGCAAGAAAGAAATGTAACTATATATGGGAAAATAGAAATTAGGGAGAGGTAAGGAAGTGGAGGTGGTCAACAGGCAGCAGCTGGTCAGTTAGGCAATCATGATGGGTGAGGGGTCTAGCGTCCCACTGTTCAGATGTGGTGATCTGGTAAGATTCAGTTGTGTGATACTTTCTGGAAGGACTGATGGTGGGTTTCTTGAGAAAGGAACTCAGTAAGACAAATGTAAGTTTCTCAAGTTTTAAGACTGGGAAGGTCAATTTCTAGTTTTACTCCAAAGAAACCATAAATATCAATTTTATGAAACAACTGGCTGGTTTCATTTTCAGATCACAGTTGATTACAGGTAATTGAAACCTCAGAAAGTAAAACCAAGGATAAGGAGAGACTATTGCACAGATTAAACTTACAAACAATATAGGGAAAGAAAAAAAAGGAAAGTGGTATAAATTAGTTTTGTGTTCCCCTTGCGTAATTTACACTACCACAAAGCTTCAGTGAGATTCTTACCTTTGTCTTTTCGCTCCTGAGGGGAATCTGGAACTGACATGAAGGATCTCTCTCCCTCTCTGTCTCTTTGAATACACAGTTTATATGCATCATTTTGTCAAATATGAGGGTTAGAATACAAAGGTTTCAAAGAATTGAAGATGTTCTGAAAAATCCCTGTAAGGAAACAAAACCAGAATTTACCCCGTTACAACCTTGTTACAGAATTGAAAGAGTATTTCTTGTTTCTCCTCGTCAAATGAAGATAGTCCAAAGCTTTTTGTTTCCATTTAGTAAAATCAAATACCATGCTCAAAATCCGAAATCTAAATATAAATCTGTTTTTCACTTAAGAAAAAGAGCAATATTGTATTTAACTATTAAAAACATTTTTAAAATATATAACACACTAGTGGTACCCACTTTTTAAAAAATGAAATAACTGCACAATCAATAACGACCAGTAATAACATTTCAGGGATTCCTCATTGCCAGTGGATGAGTGAAACTGAGGATTAGCTTCTTCCCAGAAAAACAGAAAGAAGTCTGTGTGGATGGGGTTATGGGAACATGGGTATTTATATATTTACAATAATTATGTGACAGCAAAATGTGAATTCATTGACTTTCTCTGTATATTTGTAAATAGAAGTTTTATAAACTTTTGGTTTTGGTTGTATTTTTTTCTATCCATTAGAGGTTTTAAAAAGAAAAACCTTTGAAAAATTAAATTTACCTGAGTTTAAATGAGTAGGAAACAAAAAGATTTATGAACATGGTAGCCCTCAGGACAAAAAGCATTTCAGAGAGCTTTCCTTCACAAAGTTGGCGGGGAATATTTATAGCTGGAAAACAGAAGTGACATAGGAAAATGATTGGTTAGAGTTTGAAGTTTGTCTTATTAGGACACGTTTGGCAATTTGCAGCCTATGATTGGCTGAAAGTTTGGCTGCTGTGATTGGCTGAGATTCAGATACTTGTTAAAAGAATATAATCTCAAGTTAGGTTTCAGCATGTTTACATTTTAAGTTAGGTTGTAGTTCACTACTACACAGAGGCAGCTTTGGGCCAAATTCAATGTAATAGAGGGTAACAAATCCAATGAAGTTGATGTCATGTGGGAAATCTAATTAATGGCATATTTGAATCTAAAATTTAATTATCTTAAATCCAACTTCAGTGCTGTTCCACTGTATTTTCAAAATTTACCATTTTCCTATTGTGTAGCTCTAAAAAAATAAAATAAATTTTAAAAATTACCACATAATACGGTCACAGATGGACTGAAAGTATTTTAGACCTCAAATGCATGTCTCCTGCCAACCATTCTAAAGACTCAGTTATAGAAAAAAAATCTTAAAGAGCAACAGCAACAACTAAAACCTATGTGTAGGTAAACAGAGCCTGAATTCAGGAAGACCAGTATAAAATGTTCATGCTTATTTGCTTTAGATTAGTACTATCCAGAGGAAAGGTAAAAGAAAACAAATTAAAAGGGTGCTTTTGAGATCATGTGATCTTCATTTAATTTAAAAAGTATAAAATTCCCAAATTCTAGAAAAGCAATATTTTATGATTCACAGAAACATATTAGAACACATATATTCGATGGTTAAGAGGGAAAGGAGCTTTTAGTGACGTAATCCACATTTTGCCCATTAAGCCCCCATTGAGCATAATTGAAATATACTGAGTGCTCAAAATGGGCAATGGCTTATGCTAATGTCATGGGCATTCTCAAATTTACTTCTCATAATAAACCCATGAGGTAGGCTTTTTTGTTTAGACGAAGTAAGGTTCAGGAACAAACAACTAATGATAAACATGCAGTACACAGCAAGACCAGGAGATTATGAAAACTCTCACAAGAAAATGCATTGCCCTCTTTGGTGTTAGTCAATTCCAACAAAAATGCACAATGACATGTCACTGTAATGTGTATGAAAAAGTAAAAATGGTTTCAGGAACACCTGATGTGAGGGTTGCATTTATTTTGTTCAAGGTGTGAAGACCCAAATGTTTCTAATGATCAGTCTGGGTCTCCACAGAGTCCTCATTACAACAGAGGATGACTTTAAGACTTCAAATGAAAAAAGGAAGGAAATTTTCCTGTGGATCTTGGAATATCTGATTTTTGCACTATGGACTGTAACTGCTACATTTCCTCATTTTGCTTTGAGAATCTCTTAGGCTGATATCTATCTTCTGGCTCACACCAACCTTGCTGTGATTTAAAGGTTTTTAAGGTTTCTCTCTTTACCTAAATGCTTTCATCATTCTGACCTTGTTTTCTACTGATTTCAGCTTTGGTATTCCAGTGCTATTTTGTCTGTACTTTAGCCTAGGCAGCTCTATTTCCACCATCTCCAATTACCTTTTGTACTGAGTCAATGTGTCAAAAATGCAAAACATACAATAACACTGATGAGGGAAGAAAAGAAAAAAATGACTCTTTTTGTTCCATTAATGTATTTTTATTGATATTCCCACTGGGATAACAATTTTTGCCCAGGTTCAAGCACTTTGGAAACCCAACCCTAAGTTAGCAAAGCATTCGAGTAATCCAGAAGACTTCCACATTGGATCAGCTCTTGTTAACAGTAGTACTTCTTGATTCAGCTCTGAACCTGTAGTCTTGGTTGTAGCTCTGTCTATATGGTTTAGATCTCTGTCACTTCTCTCTGGATTTTTACCTGCTCCAATATCATTGCTTTTTCTGACATGCTAAATTCTTTCTACTTTGAAACTACACAGATCTTGGTTAATGAGATTGCATTATCCTATCTGAGGTAGTACATCTAGCAGTCTTAGGACAACTCTACCAATAACGGTAGCTCTTTATATAAGGCCAAGTTTGATTTGGAATATTTACTACCACCTTATCAACATGAACACACACATGCACACACCAACACATAACACACACACACACAAAATCTCCCTAAGTCAAATCGGGTACTATGCCTGAGATAAATATTGTTCAACTCAGCAGACACGATGTTAAACAATAAAGCAGTTACTTCATGCAAAATTAGGTATGTATGAACATTCAGAGATATGGTTTCAATATTTTCCGATCATGGTCAGTATAACAAAAACAAAATCATGCTAGATCATCAGGGGAAAAAAAATGACCTAAATTTTAGCTCACCGCAGGCAGTTCATTCATAGCCTTTAGCAATCCCTAAACCTCCTTATATGTGCCTGTGTTCTGAGTAGTATTAATCCTTCTACAGAATTCACAGTGCATCTAAAAGTGTATGCTTTTTCACTTCATGAATCAATTAAAAATATTTGTTAATTTGGCAAATGCATCAAAATATGTAAATAAATTTGACAACGGACATGTGAGAACTTTACAGTGTAAACTAAAACATTACTGAGAGAAATTAAAGAAATGTAAACAGAGACTTACCAGATGCCAATGAATTCAAAGACTCAATATTCTTAACAAATCATTTCTCTTGAAATCGATCTATAGATTCAACAAAAGTTCAAATACTCAACACATTTTTTTGAAGAAATGGACAAGGTGATTCTAAAATGTACAAGAAAATAGAAAGGACATAGAATGGCTGTGATGAGCAGAATTATAAGGTGGTTCCCCAAATTTCCACATCTTGGTGGACTTGTTCTAGATAATCCCTTGGATATCATCCAAGCCAAAACAGATTTCATAGTTTGGATTATATCTTATTATATGGGAAAATATTAGGGATTATGCAGGTGTGATTCAGGTCCCATACCGGTTCAATTTGAGTAAATCAAGAGAGATTATCCCAGGTGGGCCTGACCTCGTCAGGTGAGCCCTTCCAAGGAACTAGACTCTCCCTGCAGAATGAGATCTGAAGCAAGAGAGTGTGTGGATCCAGAGAGCTCCACGTGGCAAGAACCTGACAGGAGCCTCTGGAAGCTGCCAATGAGTCATGGCCAGACAACCAGCAAGAAAACAGAGATTTTAGCTCTTCAGTCAGAAGGGATGGAATTCTTCCAATAGCCTAGATGATCTTGGAAAGGGATCCTGAGCCTCAGATAAGAACAGAGCCCCAGCAGACCTCCTGATTTCACCCTTGAGATCCTAAGCAGTGAATTCAATCACACTCTGCTCAGAGTCTTAATCTAAGGAAAATGTTAAATAACAAGTATTTTAAGCCACGACGGACTTGACCATTTGTCATAGAGTAATAGAAAACTGATACAGCCAACACAGTTTTGAAAAGGAACAGCAAAGCTGGAGAATGTACACTACCTGCTTTCAAGATTTATGAAGTAAAACAATCTAAACAGTCTGTATTATTGAAAAGCTCTGCATAATGATCAAAGAAATAGAACAAGGAGACATTAACTAGACCCAGGCACACATTGTACATTGATTTTAACAAATATACCAAGGTAATTTTAATAGGGAATGATAAACTTTTCAACAAATGGTGCTAGAACAATTGCATATCCATGTGAAAAAATATGAACCTTGGCCATTCATACTATGCTGTAAAACTTCTAGAAGATAACATGGGAGAAAAAAATCATAGTGACATTTGCTTAGGGAAAGATTTTATTAGTAGGCAAAAAAGAAAAAGAAAAATGTAACAATCATAAATTAGACTTCAAATTGAAAAACTTCAGTTATTTGAAAAGCACTGCTAAAAACATGAAAATGCAAGCCATAATGTGGGATAAAATACCTGCAAAATATTTATTCTAGAAAGTGCTTGAATCCAGTATATAAAAATAGCTCATACAACTCAATTATAGATAGACAAAAATCCAATTAAAATTTTGAATAAACGCAACCAAAGAAGATATATTAATGACAAAGAAGCCTATGAAATGATGTTTGATATTATTAATCATTAGGGAAAAATAAATTAAAACTGTAACACGGTGCCATTTCATACCCAGTGGAATGCTAACTTTTAAAAAGCTAATCATACCAAGTGCTGGCAAGTATGTGGAACAACTGAAACTGTATATGCTACTGGTGGCCATGTAAAATAATATGAAAAGTAGTTGTGCTTTCTTAAAAAGTAAACAGCCACCTACCATATGATGCAGGCATCCCATTTCTAACTGTTTACTGAAGAAAAAAAACAAAGAAAATGTCAATACAAAGATTTTTACAGGAATGGAATAGTAACTTTTTAACAGCTATGGCCATATCTAGAAAACTCATTAATTATTATTATTATATTATTATTGTTTGAGATGGAGTCTCACCCTGTCGCCCAGGCTGGAGTGCAGTGGAGCGTTCTTGGCTCACTGCAACCTTAATCTCGCAGGTTCAAGCGATTCTCCTGTCTCAGTGTCTCAGCCTCCCGAGTAGCTGGGATTACAGGCACCCACCACCACACCCGGCTAATTTTTTTGTATTTTTAGTAGAGACGGGGTTTCACCATGTTGGTCAGGCTGGTCTCAAACTCCTGACCTCAGGTGATTCGCCCGCCTTGGCCTAGGTCTAGGAATTTGAAATAACTTAGCCAAAGTCATACACATTATGGCGTAATTGGTACAAAACAGGTTGGTAGCCATCAGGATAGTTCAGCTGCCATGCTTAATGGTTGTTTTCCTCATGCTCTCCTTTAGTTAAACTCCTTTTTTTTATTTTTACTTCCATTGATTTGCAGTGTTTTGGGGGGAGTTTCACATTAACAAATGCTTCTACATAAAAATATCTACACTGATGGACTCTCTAATGTACATTTTATTTTAGAATGTTTTAGAGATTGTATATGTAGCTGGGTATTTTAAGATCTAAAAATGTCAAGTTCATTATCATAAATTTTATTGTGTATATAATTTCATTTTTATTGACTTTTTTATCTTTGATTAAATTGTCCTTTTATTATGCCTTTTTTTCAACGGGTATACTTTAGCCAGCATGTCAATTTCATCCATTTTTGTTTACGTTTTTAAAGCCATCACATACATTTTGGTAAGTCAGCTCAATCTTTGTACTTTTCAAATTCAATTAAGTTGAAAGCTTTGTCTCCTTTGATAAGAGACAACTGCTGAAAGCTAATGCCTTATAGAAAAATGTTGCAAGGACAAAAATACCATTTAATAGAGAAAGAGGAAAACATATCTTTATTTGACAGACGATCAAGTGAGGCTTTTCAAATACCCCATCAGTTATATAGAAGATAATATTTAAAATCATATGTGGCTTCTAATGCTTCTGTTTAACACATAGTATAAGAGTGACCTTATATTTAGTTTTCTTTAAAAATTGAAAAGACACATTTTTGCAGAAGCATGGTAATGTGCAGTAATTCTAAAAGTGGCTTTAACTTTGTAACTTTATATAATAGATTTAATTTGTGTTCACAGAAATGATAAAGTGAAGTATGACTTTTACTGATTTGTATTCAAAATTAGGACAACATTCTTGGTACAAAACTTTCTCAGAATATGTACTTTCAAATGCCTTATGTTTCCCCCACCTACACTGCAAGGTCTGCTTTAAAGCCTGCTTAGTTAACATTTAAAGTCAATAAATATGTATTAAATTAAATCTAGGTCAAACATTATGAAACATACAGCAGACAAGTTTAGGACGATGGTCATAATGCCTAAGGAACTCACAGTCTGGGAAGGCCAATGGGTTCAAGCCTACCTGTAATATTAGGAAAATTAAAGAAGGTATTATAATAGATTTATAAGGTTTATAAAATTATTATAATAGATTTATTGAATGCATCTCTACCACAGAACAATACATATGTATAGATAAAAAACACATTTGAGCTGTGCCTTAAGGGTTAAATTGACAGGCAATTGAGAGATATTTCAAGCTGAGCAACTGCCATAAACAAAGGATAGAGACATGCTCTGTGTAGCTGAGAATACACAGTGTCTGGAATAGGGCACAAGTATATGTATGTGAGGAGGTGAGCTTGGCAAGGGAGGGCATGACTTAGATGGAAAAGACTGTGAGGATCATGGAGTGGCTTTTGTACTTCAATCATCTGTCACTGTGCTATATCACAGGTCTGAAGTCAATCATTGCTCTAACACCTTTTCTGAGTCACCATCATGACCTATAGAATAAAACACTAGCATTCTACTTTGAAAAGCAATAAAGTGAAAGTGATAATTGGTTACTGCAACGAGATTGGAAATTCTTAAAGACATAAGAAGATATAAGGACATTGGAATGAATGGGACTGCAGATTTGGCCCACTTTTTCTATCTCACCACAAACTGACCCTAACTTGGGAGATTTCAGAAGCAAAGATTCTGTGGGGTTTTTGTTTGTTTGTTTGTTTGTTTTGTTTTTATATTTTTCTTCAACATACCAATCATGGAATCAGTGCAATCTGATAAGTAATGTCAAAACTGTTTATTTTATGGGATAAATTCCCAAGTTCCTAGTTATTTTTTATTGTTATCTTTTAATTTACTTTTCAGTGGCTCATGTTTTCCTTACATCAACACTGTATTTCCTCAACCAGTTTTTCCAAGTGAAATTGCTAGTTATCTGGAAAATAATTAGCAACCATCTCCTCACTCATTGGATGTTAATACTAATCTCTTATAGGAACATTTGTCCTCTAAGAAGAACTCCCCCGTCCCTCCTTTACCCCCATCCCCCAACACACATACTATTTACATTATGAATCTCAAACCCTTGCTGAAAACAGTAGTTTTCTATTTAGGCAGCTTATGTAACAATATTTCCCATTGGGAAATGTCAACTTCAAACAGGAAATAGTCTATATACATTGAAGGATAATTTTCTTTTTTAATTGTGGGTGATATGTGAAGGAAAAAATAAATAATAGACAATAATAATGTGGTTTATATTAACAAGTATTAGAAAACAATAAATATCTTTTCCATTCTACGTGGATCTTCCATTTATTTATTACCTATGTGTTAGTCAAAGTAATTCAATTCAGGATAATATTCTTTTTAAAGACAGTACTTTTTTCACAATACTAAAAGTGAAGTATTATTTTTTGTTCCCAAACTTGATTTAAGTTCTAAAACTCAGAGAAAATACCTAAGTGGTTTAGGGTATGACATTTCTCTAGTCTGTGCGTCCTTTGCCCTGTCTGTATAATAAAATGGACAAGACAGTCTCTAAATCCCCTATTACTTCTGAAAACAATCCTTCTCCCCTATAATTACCAGTATGATTTTCTTTTAAAACTTTTGAAAATAGAGGATTTTAAAAAACTGTTTTATTTGGATTTGAGCCTTTAATTGGCAGCCATATTTATCTCCTAAATTAGTTCTCAAAGGTCAAAAAGCAATCAATTATCTACTGCTTTCCTGCTTTAATTGGTAGCATATCTTTGAAAAAGCTTTAAACATCAATGTTTGCATTTTGTCTCTAAAATATGAAAAGCTCCAAGAAGAAAAGAGAGATATTTTGGAAGATATTTTGGATTGAAGTTCCAATATTGAATACATATGTTTAATTGCCATAGCATCTCTAATTTTTTCATGAAGCTCTATATACTCTACAACATTTACATTATTTATCTTATTTGCATAAGATAATCAGAATATCTGAATACTTTAATCGATATTTGATATTTTAAGACACCTCTGAAGGCACTCACTAATATGTTAATTTAAGAATATGTCATCAAATAATTTAAACTAACTAAATAAAAAGGAAAATTGAAGATTTTATTAAAAAGTTAAGTATAATGACATGTTGATGTCCTTTCTATGTTCTATTCCAGTTCTTAGCCCTTAAGTCAGATAAATAAAAATAACAATAACAGCTCCATTTCGAAGAAATCTGTTTTGATGCTCGTCAAAAAATCTGCACAATAGAAGTCTTAGCCCCATTTCATAAACAGGAGTTTGAGGCTGAGATGACTAAAGTTACTTGCCCTAACCTTCAAAGCTATTAGGTGGTACAGTTGGGCTAGGAATGCAGACATATTTCTATATCCTGATTCAGTCATTTATTTTCCAATACATATAACGAGACAATAAATCAGCTAGGAATGGTGATAATTAACTCAAGACTATCATCTCACCTTACATCTTTTTTATTACCTGGTCATGTATGCCCTGATTTACAGCATCTACATTTTTGCCTCTGCAATCCTGAACTTTATAGAACCTCTGGAGTCCCTTGACTTAGTGTTTGTTCTAGGGTGATGGACTCATCTCAGTTTGCCTGGGCCTGTCCTGGGTTTAGTATTGAAAGTACTGTGATCTAGGCACCCCTCGAGCCTCAGGAAAATCAACATAGCTCCTCAGAGATTGTCCTGGTTTTAAAACATAAACTTCTGTGTCCCAGGAGCCTCATCAGTCCCAGGCTAATCAAGGTGGTTCATCACCCTAAGTGACCATCACATTTGAGCACAGTCTTTCTTTTATAGACTTTAGCTTAGCTAAATCCATTGTCTTACCAATCTCTTATTAATGCAGGAAGGTACATGTTGTTGCAAATGCTGCCACATGTTCCCAGCAATTTGGAGAGGCCTGTCTTCATCCTGAGGAATGCTGAACACAGGTTGTCTCAAAAATCACAAATAATATTTTTTTAATGAGTTTGAGTGTGCCATTCATATACTTTACTTGATTTTTTCCCTAATTCACAGTAGGCATTGTTGACTTAGAAAATGCCAGATTTTAAGTGCTTGGTGGAGAAACATGGGAGAAAGTTGTGTTTGTAGAACATCTGGAGAAACAAATATTTTCTCACTGTTTATTTTCAGTCTCCTTTCCAATTCAATAATATTTGCTTTCTTTTACTGCAATAAGATGAGCTGGAGAGTAATGAGAATGCAAGCTGGTTTTACCTTGAGAAAAGCTTCAGGGTAAACAATTCTAACACTGAAATCAAGAATTGCAAAGTTTATTAAATAATTCTGCTCTTGATGAAACCATAAATAGCTGAGTGTTTTAAAAACATTGCTAACCATCTCTGAACAAGGATAATATATTCCACATAACTCAGAGAAACAAACTTTGGTATAACAAACCTCACAAATCTTTTACTGAAAAAAATATTTGGATTTAATTCTTTTAAAAAATATTGATCTAAATTATTACATTAAAGCTACATAGGATATTGAAATTATATGCAAAACAAGACAAACAAGGAGCTATCGATAAAAATGTCCAATCTTTAAGTAATTTCCCTATTAAAATAAGGGATGCTTGACTAGAAAATCTGAGTTTCTTCTGAAACAGAGAAAATTATTGGCCATTTAAAATTTTAAATCAAGGAGAAATCTTATGTTTAAGAAGGTCAGAGAGAGTAGTGTCTCAGAAAGTTCAAGCATATATTTTATGAAAACGTTTGTTAAATAGTGTTTAATTATTGAATAAAGTAAAACCAATAATTAGAAGGCCTGTGTTGTAAATTCACCTTCACCACTGACTTTACTGATGATCTTAGCCAATTTTTTATTATTTCCTTGATTTCACAAGATGAGGGAACTTGGGTACTTTTCACTTTTATCATTGGCTAATCATATATTTATTTTATGGTGGTCAATCAGGAGACTGTATTCAGCAATGGCAAACAACTTGAAATCATTAGACATTTAACTATATAATATTATACAGTGATAATATATTATAATATTACTTTGGTACACAATTTATAATTGGATAATGGCCATGATTCTCTTACACCTTTCAGTGCTAACTTGAATTTTTAAAAATTTTGAATTACCTGTAGTAAATGTATGTTAAGGATTCCAGGAGTTTTTTTTTTAATGGAGTCTCCTCCTCCTTCTTCTTCTTCTTCTCCTCCTTCTTCCTTCTTCCTTCTTCTTCCTCCTCCTCCTCCTCTTCTTCTTCTTCTTCCTCTGTTTTGCACAGCAAAAAATATTTAATTAAAAATGAGGCAAGGATTGGAACAGTCACTTTCAAAACAAACCATACAGAGAGATAACAGGCTTACAAAAAAAAAGGTTCATCACTAATCCTTAGAGAAATGCAAACCAAAACCACAGTGAGATACCACCTCACACCTGTCAAGGCGAAGCTAAGGGTTGGCCAGGATATTGAGAACAGGCAACCCTTCTACATCGCTGTTGGGAATGCAAATTAGTAAAACCACCATGTAAAACTGTGTGGAGATTCCTGAAAAGAAAATAAAAGTAGAACATATAATCCTAGAATCCCACTTCTGGGTATATATTCACAGAAAATGAAACCAGTATCACAAAGAGAGATCTGTATTCCCATGTTCAGTGTGGTATTATTTTCAATAGCCACAGTAGGTAGTCAACTGAAGTGTCCATTGAAAGATGGCTGGTTCAAGAAAATATGACATATATACACATGGAATACTATGAAACCTTAAAAAAGGGAATTCTGTCTTTTGCAACACAAGGAGTAAGCCTGGAGGACCCCATGCTAAGCAAAACAAGTCAGACACAGAGAAACAAATCCACATTATCTCACTTACATATGGAATCTAAAAAAAGTCAGCATTTTATAAGTAGAGAGTAGAATGGTTCTTACCAGAGGCTGGATTGGGAGGGGAATAAAGGGTTGTTGGTCAAAGGGAAAAAAGTTTTAGTTAGACAGGAGGAATATGTTTTGAGACCTACTGCACAGCAGGATGACTATAGTCAATAATAATGTATTGTACATTTCAAAATAACTAAGAGAGTAAATCCCAAATGTCTCACCACAAAAAAATAAGGAAGCGAGGTGACAGATAGGTTAACTTGCTTTATTCAGTAATTCTACATAGTAGATGTATATCACAACATGACATTGTACCCCATAAATGTATACAATTATGGTTTGTTGATGAATAATAATCAAAGAAAAGCCTAAGGAACTGAAAGAGCAGGCTGGAGGGAGCAGATCAAGTGCATGGTAGATGCAACAGGGAAAGACCAGGGTACACAGGTCTGGTAGAGGCTGCCTTTATTTTCTGTCCACAGTAGTGCAATAAAACAGCAAGCTAACTAAGCTTGATGTTGCAAAGTAGAAACAAAAAGCCAGGGTTGCCACACAGGAAGGAGGAAAGGAAGGGACTATCTCTCATTCCATTTCAGGGTCTTGTTTTAACACGTAACGAAAGCAAAAACTTTGGGAACTTGGAAAGCCTGTTCTGCTGGGAGACACTTTCTTATTTGTGGCCCAAGATTCCCCAAGATTCCAACCCTGGTGAAAACACCCTGTAGAATCCCTTCCTCTTGAATGGATATAATGGGATACCACTACTACTCTTATATTGTATGGAATACATTTTGAAAATGTAATTAAGGTCCCTAATATGTTGACTTTGAGTTAATCAAAAGGAAAATTATCCTAGGCAGGCCTGAATTAATCAAGTGAACCCTTTAAAAGAAGGTGGTTCAGTTCCAGAGACATGCTGTGTACTGCTGGCCTCAAGGAAGAGTTATCTAGTTGCTGAGAGTGGCTTCCAGAAGACAGACAGGTAACGAATGGTGATTTCAATCCTATAACCATAACAAACTGGATTCTGCCAACAACTGGTGAGGTTAGAAGAGAATTTCCAGCCTCATTTGAGATGACAGTAATAGCCAACTCTGAGTTCACCTTGTGAGACTTGAGCAAAGAACCATGCTACTCTGTCCCCAGTCTCCTGACAAAAAAAAAAAAAAAAAAAAAAGGATTAACTCATTCATTTGTCTTAAATAGGAATATGTGCTTGGATATTTACATATATTTGTTAAATCCTCAAAATAGCTCTGTGGATTATAGTTTATATACACATTTAACAAATGGCATAAAGTTTCAAAAACTTTAGCAATGTAATAAAATTATACACAAATAGAAAATGACATAGCTATTATTTTAATTTTCTCTGCCTGTCTCCTATGTCGAATTCTTTTTTTAATTGTATTTATGTATTTATTTTTTATTATACTTTAAGTTCTGGGATATATGTGCAGAACGTGCAGGTTTGTTACATAGGTATACATGTGCCATGGTGGTTTGCTGCACCCATCAACCTGTTGTCTACATTAGGTATTTTTCCTAATGCTATCCCTCCCCTTGCCCCCACCCCCTGACAGGCCCTTGTGTGTGATTTTCCCCTCCCTGTGTTCATGTGTTCTTATTGTTCAACTCCCACTTACGAGTGAGAACATGCAGTGTTTGGTTTTCTGTTCCTGTGTTAGTTTGCTGAGAATGATGGTTTCCAGCTTCATCCATGTCCCTGCAAAGGACATGAACTCATCCTTTTTTATGGCTGCATAGTATTCCATGGTGTATATGTGCTACATTTACTTTAACAAGTCAATCATTGATGGGCATTTGGGTTGGTTCCAAGTCTTTGTTATTGTGAATAATGCTGCAATAAACATACATGTGCATGTGTCTTTATAGGAGAATGATTCATAATCCTTTGGGTATATATCCAGCAATGGGATAGCTGGGTCAAATGGTATTTCTGGTTCTAGATCCTTGAGGAATCACCACACTGTCTTCCGCAATGGTTGAACTAATTCACATTCTCACCAACAGTGTAAAAGTGTTCCTATTTCTCCTCTCCAGCATCTGTTTTTTCTGGACTTTTTAAGAATTACCATTCTAACTGGCATGAGATGGTATCCCACTGTGGCTTTGATTTGCATTTCTCTAATGACCAGTGATGATAAGCTTTTTTCATGTGTTTGTTGGCCACATAAATATCTTGTTTTGAGAAATGTCTGTTCATATACTTCACCCACTTTTTGATGGGTTTTTTTTTCTTGTAAATTTGTTTAAGTTCCTTGTAGATTCTGAATATTAGCCCTTTGTCAGAAGGATAGAATTCAAAAATTTTCTCCCATTCTGTAGGTTGCCTGTTCACTCTGATGATAGTTTATTTTGCTGTGCAGAAGCTCTTTGGTTTAATTAGATCCCATTTGTCAATTTCAGCTTTTGTTGCCATTGCTTTTGGTGTTTTAGTCACGAAGTCTTTGCCCATGCCTATGTCCTAATGGTATTGCCTCGGTTTTCTTCTAACTTTTTTATGGTTTTAGGTCTTACATTCAAGTCTTTAATCCATCTTGAGTTAATTTTTGTATAAGGTGTAAGGAAGGGGTCCAGTTTCAGTTTTCTGCATATGGCTAGCCAGTTTTCCCAACACCATTTATTAAAATGGAATCCTTTCCCATTGCTTGTTTTTGTCAGGTTGGTCAAAGAACAGGTGGTTGTAGATGTGTGGCATTATTTCTGAGGCCTCTGTTCTGTTCCATTGGTCTATATATCTGTTTTGGTACCAGTACCATGCTGTTTTCGTTACTGTAGACTTGTAGTATAGTTTGAAGTCAGGTAACATGATGCCTCTAGCTTTGTTCTTTTTGCTTAGGATTGTCTTGGTTATACAGGCTCTTTTTGGTTCCATATTAAAGTTAACGTAATTTTTTCTAATTCTTTGAAGTAAGTCAAAGGTAGCTTGATGGGGATAGCATTGAATCTATAAATTACTTTGGGCAGTATGGCCATTTTCATGATATTGTTTCTTCCTATCCATGAGCATGGAATGTTTTTTCCATTTGTTTGTGTTCTCTCACTTATTTCCTTGAGCAGTGGTTTGTAGTTATTTTTGAAGAGGTTCTTCCCATCTCTTGTGAATTGTTTTCCTAGGTATTTTATTCTCTTTGTAGCAATTGTGAATGGGAGTTCACTCATGATTTTGCTCTCTGTTTGTCTATTATTGGTGTATAGGAATGCTTGTGATTTTTCACACATTGATTTTGTATGCTGAGACTTTGCTGAAGTTGCATAGCAGCTTAAGGAGATTTTTGGCTGGGACGATGGGATTTTCTAAATATACAATCATGTCATCTGCAAACAGAGACAATTTGACTTCCTCTCTTCCTATTTGAATACCTTTATTTCTTTCTCTTGCCTGATTGCCCTGGCCAGAACTTCCAATACTATGTTGAATAGGAGTGGTTGAGAGAGGGCATCCTTGTCTCGTGCCAGTTTTCAAAGGGAATGCTTTCAGCTTTTGCTCATTTAGCACGATGCTGGCTGTGGGTTTGTCATAAATAGCTCTTTTCATTTTGAGATACGTTCCATCAATACCTAGTTTGTTGAGAGTTTTTAGCATGAAGGGGTGTTGAATTGTATCGAAGGTCTTTTCTGCATCTATTGAGATAATCATGTGGTTTTGGTCATTGGTTCTGTTTATGTGGTGAATTTTGTTTATTGATTTGCATGTGTTGAACCAGCGTTGCATCCCAGGGATGAAGCCGACTTGATCATGGTCGATAAGCTTTTTGATATGCTGCTGGATTCAGTTTTCCAGCATTTTATTGAGGATTTTCACACTGATGTTCATCAGAGATATTTGCCTGAAATTTTCTTATTTTGTTGTGTCTCTCCCAGGTTTTCCTATCAGGATGATGCTGGCCTCATAAAATAAGTTAGGGAGGAGTCCCTCTTTTTCTACTGTTTGGAACAGTTTCAGAAGGAATGGTACCAGCTCCTCTTTTTGACCTCTGGTAGAATTCAGCTGTGAATCTGTCTGGTCCTGGGCTTTTTTTGATTGGTAGGCTATTAATTACTGCTTCAATTTCAGAAATTGTTATTGGTCTATTCAGGGATTCGAATTTTTCCTGGGTGAGTCTTCGGAGGATGTATGTGTCCAGGAATTTATCCATTTCTTCTAGATTTTCTAGTTTATTTGCATAGAGGTGTTTATTGTATTCTCTGATGGTAGTTTGTATTTCTGTAAGATCAGTGGTGATATCGCCTTTATTGTGTCTATTTGATTCTTCTCTCTTTTCTTCTTTATTAGTCTGGCTAGTGGTCTATTTATTTTGTTAATCTTTAAAAAAAAAAAGACAGCTCCTAGATTCATCAATTTTTTGAAGTGTTTTTCCTGTCTCTATCTCCTTCAGTTCTGTTCTGATCTTAGTTATTTCTTGTCTTCTGCTAGATTTGAATTTGTTTCCTCTTGTTCTCTAGTTCTTTTAATTATGATGTTAGGGTGTCGATTTTAGATCTTTTCTGCTTTCTCCTGTGGGAATTTAGTGCTATAAATTTCCCTCTAAACACTGCTTTAGTTGTGTCCCAGAGATTCTTGTACATTGTGTATTTGTTCTCATTGGTTTCAAAAAAGTATTTATTTCTGCCTTAATTTCATTGCTTACCCAGTAGTCATTCAGGAGCAAGTTGTTAAGTTTCCATGTAGTTGTGCAGTTTTGAGTGAGTTTCTTAATCCTGAATTCTAATTTGATTGCACTGTGGTCTGAGAGACTGTTTGCTATGATTTCTGTTCTTTTCATTTGCTGAGGAGTGTTTTACTTCCAACTATGTGGTCAATTTTAGAATAATTGTGACGTGGTGCTGAGAAGAATGTATATTCTGTTTATTTGGTGTGGAGAGTTCAGTAGATGTCTATTAGGTTTGCTTGGTCCAGAGCTGAGTTCCAAGTCCTGAATATCCTTGTTAATTTTCTGTCTCATTGATCTGTCTAATATTGACAGTGGGGTGTTAGAGTTTCCCACTATTATTGTGTGGGAGTCTAAGTCTCTTTGTAGGTCTCTGATAAATTGTTGTATGAATCTGGGTGCTACTGTATTGCATGCATATATATTTAGGATAGTTATCTCTTCTTGTTGCATTGATCCCTTTACCATTACGTAATGCCCTTCTTTGTCTTTTTTGATGTTTGTTGCTGTTTTATTGCTTTCCATTTCCTTTCTAAATATTCCTCCATCCCCTTATTTTGAGTCTATGTGTGTCTTTGCAAGTGAGATGGGTTTCCTGAATACAGCACACTGATGGGTCTTGACTCTTTATCCAATTTGCCAGTCTGTGTCTTTTAATTGGGGCATTTAGCCTGTTTACATTTAAGGTTAATATTGTTATGTGTGAATTTAATCCTGTCATTATGATGCTAGCTGGTTATTTTGGCCATTAGTTGATGCAGTTTCTTCATAGTGTCAATGGTCTTCACAATTTTGTATGTTTTGCAGTGGGTGGTACCAGTGCTTCCTTTAGGAGCTCTTGTAAGGCAGGCCTCATGGTGACAAAATCTCTCAGCATTTGCTTGTCTGTAAAGGATTTTATTTCTCCTTCGCTTATGAAGCTTAGTTTGGCTGGATATGAAATTCTGGGTTGAGAATTCTTTTATTTAAGAATGTTGAATATTGGCCCCCACTCTCTTCTGGCTTGCAGGGTTTCTGCAGAGATCCACTGTTAGTCTGAAGGGTTTCCCTTTGTGGGTTCTCCAACCTTTCTCTCTGACTACCCTTGACATTTTTTTTTTCCTTCATTTCAACCTTGGTGTATCTGACGATTATGTGTCTTGGGGTTGCTCTTCTCGAGGAGTATCTTTGTGATGTTCTCTGTATTTCCTGAATTTGAATGTTAGCCCTTCTTGCTAGGTTGCAGAAGCTCTCCTGGATAACATCCTGAAGAGCGTTTTCCAACTTGGTTCCATTCTCCCCATCACTTTCAGGTACACCAATCAAACAGAGGCTTGGTCTCTTCACATAATCCCACATTTCTTGGAGGCTTTGTTCATTCCTTTTCATTCTTTTTTCTCTAATCTTGTCTTCATGCTTTATTTCATTAAGTTGATCTTCAATCTCTGATATCCTTTCTTCCACTTGATTGATTCAGCTTTTGATACTTGTGTATGCTTCATGAAATTCTCGTGCTGTGTTTTTTCAGCTCCTCCGGGTCATTTATGTTCCCGAAACTGGTTATTCTAGTTAGCAATTCCTCTAACCCTTTTTCAAGGTTCTTAGCTTCCTTTCATTGGGTTAGAACATGCGCCTTTATCTCGGAGGAGTTTGTTGCTACCCACCTTCTGAAGCCTACTTCTGTTCAATTCATCAAATTCCTTCTCCATCCAGTTTTGTTCCCTTGCTGGTGAGGAGTTGTGATCCTTTGGAGGAGAAGAGACATTCTGGTTTTTGGAATTTTCAGACTTTTTGCGCTCATTTTTCATCATCTTCGTGGATTTATCTACCTTTGGTCTTTGACGTTGGTGACTTTCGGATGGGGTTTTTGTGTGGACATCCTTTTTGTTGATGTTATTCCTTTCTGTTTGTTAGTTTTCCTTCTAAGAGTCAGGCCCCTCTGCTGCAGGTCTGCTGGAGTTTGCTGGAGGTCCACTCCAGACCCTGTTTGCCTGGGAATCACCAGCGGAGGCTGCAGAACCACAAAGATTGCTGCCTATTCCTTCCTCTGGAAGCTTCGTCTCAGAGGGGCTCCCGCTCCAGATGCCAGCTGGAGCTCGCCTGTATGACGTGTCACCTGCTGGGAGGTTTCTCCCAGTCAGGAGGCGCGGGGGTCAGGGACCCACTTAAGGAGGCAGTCTGTCCCTTAGTAGAGCTACAGCATTGTGCTGGGAGATCCACTGCTCTCTTCAGAGCCAGCAGGCAGGAACATTTAAGTCTGCTGAAGCTGTACCCACAGCCACCCCTTCCCTCAGGTGCTCTGTCCCAGGGAGATGGGAGTTTTATCTATAAGCCCCTGACTGGGGCTGCTGCCTTTCTTTCAGAGATGCCCTGGCCAGAGAAGAGGAATATAGATAGGCAGTCTGGCTACAGTGGCTTTGCTGAGCTGTGGTGGGCTCCACCCAGTTAGAACTTCCCAGTGGCTTTGTTTGCACCGTGAGGGGAAAAGCACCTACTCAAGCCTCAGTAATGGCGGACGCCTCTCCTCCCACCAAGCTCGAGCATCCCATGTCGATTTCAGACTGCTGTGTTGGCAGCGAGAATTTCAAGCCAGTGGGTCTTAGCTTCCTGGGCTCCATGGGGGTGGGATCCACTGAGCTAGACCACTTGGCTTGCTGGCTTCAGCCCCCTTTCCAGGGGAGTGAATGGTTCTGTCTTGCTGGCATTCCAGGCACCACTCTTTATGGAAAAAAAAGTTCCTGTACTTAGCTCCATGTTTGCTGAAACGGCTGCCCAGTATTGTGCTTGAAACCCAAGGCCCTGGTGCTGTAGGCACCTGAGGGAATCTCCTGGTTTGCGGGTTGCAAAGACCATGGGAAAAGCTTAGTGACTGGGCTGGAGCGCACTGTTCCTCAAGGCACAGTCCCTCATGGATTTCCTTGGCTAGGGGAGGGAGTTCCCTGACCCCTTGTACTTCCCAGGTGAGGTGACACCCCACCCTGCTTCTGCTCACCCTCTGTGGGCTCCACCCACTGTCTAACCAGTCCCAATGAGATGAGCCAGGTACCTCAGTTGGAAATGCAGAAATCACCCACCTTCTGCATTGATCTCGCTGGGAGCTGCAGACTAGAGCTGTTCCTATTTGACCATCTTGCCAGCCACCTTCTATGTCGAATTCAGATCTCAAAAGTACTAAAAAGCCAAGAATCTCAAGTTTTTCTTGAGGTTGCAGAGTCACTACACAAAGAAGCCCAGAGCTTCTTTCTCTCACTAAAAAAAAAAAAAAAAAAAAAAAAAAAAAAAAAAAAAAAAAAAAAATTGCTATTTGGGAGTATTCTTCTTTTTGTAATTCCTTTATCTTTATGGTATTTATTCATTCAAATGCTATTTAGCACCTGCTGGGTCCCAGGCATCAAGGCGGAGAGTGAGGATTCAGAGAACACATCTCTTAGGAGCTCTGACTGCAGTAGGTAAAACAACCCTGATACCCTGAATTTCCCTTTACTGATACATATTGACACAAGTTCTGGAAAAATACAGAAGTAAGCAATAAATGGGCTCTTTCTTAACAAACCATTGAAGCATTATCTTGTCATTGGGAATAAAACAGCAGCTGCTTGATTACAAACAGCACCATTTGGTAGACTTCTATGAACATTAAACAAAGAATAACCCATTTGATTTCTTCATATTTCTAAACAAGGTTTGAATTTCTGCCTTAAGCGGTACTTCATGCCAATAAAATAAACTGAGGGTGTCCTTTAATAAAAGGTGCACTGAAACTTTATGATTTCCTACATATCTCTCTTCAGCTTAGGAAAAATAATCACTCATTCTGATAAATTGTGCAGCAACATACATTTATTCATTCAAGAAATATTTTATTCACAAATTTTGCATCAAACATTATAAAATAGAGTAGTAAATATCATATGGCCCCTGATCTTAGAAAGCTTAAAGCCAAATCAAGCCACTTTAAATTGAAGCAAATTAATCTATCCAACATTACCTGATTTGTTCAAGGCTACCCAGCTAATAAATGATGTGTACTGTGACTTAAACTCTTCTCTTCTGATTTCCAAATGAATGCCCTTTTTAACATCCCAAGTGATCTTGTCTAATACTGAAAAAATCACAGTTTGGGAGTCAAATGACACAAAATAGCCTTTCTTTGGGAAACTTGGAAAATGAATGATAATGCTTTTGTGTGTGTGCGTGCGTGTGTGTGTTTCAACAAAAGAATATTTCCAATAGAAGCTCTAGCAATGCAAAATATCATTCTCCGCACAAATTCCTTCAGCATTATTGGGACTTACTCATGTGCATCAAGCAAAGACCACACTAGAATGGAAGCCAAGTGACAGGTGGTGTGCAATTTTTAGAGTCGTTGTCAAATCTAAATTCCCTCTAAATAAAAATGTAAAATTAAATTACAATTAGAACCACCTATTCCCTTACAGAAACTCAGACATATTAACTCTCAGAGGGTGGGTGCAGGGGTAAAGTGATGAAGTAGGAGGCACATTGTGTAGACCTAACTTGATTGATCTGATTATGAATTTTTGTAAGTAATTTATATTTTCCCATTTGATAAACATGACCTAACTTCTTTAGAAGTATTCATTTATTTACAGTATTTTCAAATGTTGGTTATTATCTTCCTTTTCTGGTTCTAAATGAAGATAAAATAACTTATTCTCATCTAGAGTAACTGCTGCTTTCAATCTTCTATATGTGCTGTAGCATAACTATTCAATATTAAGCTTGGCATTTAAAGTATTTAGGATTGACTGAAAGTGTTCAGAAAGGATAAAAGCTTAGTGAACTAATTCAGGAGAAAAATCATATTTATCGGAGCCAATTTCTGTAGCTTGACATTTTATGATTTACTTCTAAGCTGCTAAAATAGCTTAAGAATCCTTTTCCTCCTGGTCTGCCTGATTTTTCTTGTATTCTGCATAATCCTGCCTGAAATTTGTGCAATTAATATCGATGCAGGCATCAAATACACTGACAATGATCACCTAGGAATTATGCCTGATTAGGAAGAGTTTTATACTTAACATGTCTGTTAGCTTCATGATAACTGCACCAGAGAGATGCTGGAAACCAGAGATACTAGTGAATTTCTTGGATACAATCAAATTTATACAGGAGATGGTTCTCCTTCCATGGGACACCTTCCAACTCAGATTTTTATTTTAAAGGTTCTTACCTAAATGACTTTAAAAGAAAAATTCAGAAATGTTTACTATTCGGACTAGAGTTAGAAAAAAAAATGGAATTAAGAGCTTTGACGTGAAAATACTTGAATAATTTACCAGAACTATTTCTTAAAAGGGAATGAAAGCAGGTTTTCCTAAAGGAAAACTGAACCAGCTGGAGTAATTAAGGTAAAATACCACACCCCCAAATTACTTCATCCTCCAGGAGCAACACAACATTTTTTCCCAGCAATAGTGAATGTCAAGTTATCTTATGAATTTTGCAGTTTCTGTTACTCTTTAAAGATTGTACCAAATTCTGTCTAAATGTTCATTTTATATGCTCTGTGAAAAATACACTTTACAAACTAAATAAAGGAGGCAAGATTCTGATCCTCTTAGAACTAACTCTTAGAATGCATTTGTACCTACATTTATTTTCTGAATGATTTCTATGTCTGGTTCATCTTACATTTGTAGAAGTATAGATATATCACCCCAGATTTTATTACTTTCTAAGTTTATATATACAATTAATTCGATGATCTAAGGTGGTTTTATTTATTTTTAACACTACTTCTTTCTTTCTTTTTTTTTTTTTTTTTTTTTTTTTTTGAGACCGAGTCTCGCTCTGTGGCCCAGGCTGGAGTGCAGTGGCGCCATCTCAGCTCACTGCAAGCTCCGACTCCCGGGTTCATGCCATTCTCCTGCGTCAGCCTCCTGAGTAGCTGGGACTACAGGCGCCTGCCACCACGCCCGGCTAATTTTTTTGTATTTTTGGTAGAGACGGGGTTTCACCGTGTTGGCCAGGATGGTCTAGATCTCCTGACCTCGTGATCCGCCCGCCTCGGCTTCCCAAAGTGCTGGGATTACAGGCAGTGTGACAACAACTGTCATTTCTTGAGCTCATATTTTATGCCAGTAATTTTGTTGAAAAAGAATTTGTAATTAAACTTAGTTGCTTCTTGACAGCTACAAGTAAATACTTTCTGTTTTGATAGAGCGAGAAACTGAGGTTCATGAGGAATTTGGTCAATGTCACAAAACCAGTGAATGGCAAAGCTTGAATTCAGAAGCAAATCCAGTAGATTTCCAATTTTCAGACACTGTCTCTTTAAATTAAATCCCGATAGGTCTAAGATAGCAGGTTTTTGTAAAATTGCAATGTGTGTACATTTGGAGCTAGACTGTTCAAGGTTTGCAAACTTCAAATTCAGAATAGTTCCATCTGTAAAACAGGAATCATCACTACCTTAAAAGTTGCTGTGAGTGTTACATGAGGCATAACTGTGAATACACTGTGTTTAGCATGGTGCTTGGCATACTGAAAATTCCTATTAAATGTCAGGCGATAGTGTTTTTAATGGTGGTAAAATAGCATTTTGTTCTTACGGCCAAAATTGGTCTTACTAATTATTTTCTTCTGTATGTCTCTTTCATTTTTCCTGTGACCATAATGTCAAATTGCCAGAAAATTTGCAAGAAAGAGAATAACACAAAGAACAATGCCATGTCTTTCACCCATATTCACCCACCCTCAACATGTTAGCATATTTGTTCATTCTTTAGTAATCCCCCCCCTTAAATAATATTTATTACCAGAAAAATCAAAATCATTACAAATAATGTTCTTACTGGTAATACCAATAGTAACAGCAACCATATCTTATATTTAAGGCATTTTGGTAGGAACACTCCTAAATGTTTTACTTAGATTAATTAGTTATGTCTCCCACAACAGTCTGATAAAGTGAGTATTATCAATATCCCTATTTTGGAAAATAGGGACTTTGCCAAAACTCTTACAAATAGTAAGTGATAGACCCACATTTGAACCAGAGCAATCTGACTTGGGATACCATGACCTCAGCCACAGTAAGACAGTGGGCAGGGAGGATTTAACCCCCGGGCTGCTGCTGCCATTGTATGACTGATTGCCAGCTGCTATTACAAGCACTCTTGAGTTGTTACTAATTGTCCTTGAAATTGATTTTAACGAATACATCCATAAACTGTTCACGATTTTATTTCCTCTAAATTCATAGATCTGAGAGTTACGAAGTTTTTAGACAGGGAAATTTGGTATTTGTAAAGATATCAAACATCCTTCAATTTTGTGTGAATTACACCCCACCTTCCCTATACAATGCAGAGAACCTCAAAATTCTCAAATCTATTGTTTCCTATCATAGGCAAACACTCAAAAGAAATGTATTTATTAACTTAGATGTAATGATAAACTTGAGAAAGAAGATAACTTGTTAAAATTAAGGTTAAGGAATTTCCTTAAAGGAAGAAGTATAACTTATTAAAATTAAGGCTATTTTGCTTTAAAAAAAGAAAGCCACAACTCTTTACGAAAGGAAGTTTTAGAGTTAGCACAATAGATTCATAGACTACAGAAGGGATGAGCCTTAAATATCACATCCCAGGACCATGACTGGCACTTCTTCATTTCACTCTTTCTGGATGTGCCTGGATGTGGCCTCAAAATTATTCGGGCAGCCTTTGGTCACTGGATCAAATTAAGAAATCAAATTAAGAAAATAAAACTAACGAACAACAAAACACTTATTTATATCCCTGATCCAATCTAAATCTTTAATGTTACCACTGAGGTCACTGGTCTGAGGGATGTGAATCTCAGTTAAGTTTTTAATCAGCTAGCTCCTAACTAGTCTCAAGTTGTTTTTGTTTTGTTTTGTTTTGTTTTGTTTTTTTAATAGAAGGCCAGTGTTCTTAACAAACCTGCACATTGTGCACATGTACCCTAGAACTTAAAGTATAATAATAATAATAAAAAAGAATAAATTGAACTTGCTCCTCAGGTGTTGGTTCCTGTCATTTACTAATGAAGACAGATGGTATTCCCACGTAGAGGATGCCTTGGAAACTATCTTTTCCAGGTTTCATTTACAAATGTGGTGTGTTTTTATAGTGTGTTTGAAGCTCAAGGTTACGAACCAAGAGTCATTCTAGTTGACAGATATTCTCTTTTAAGTCTTTTGCTTTTATAATGCTAATGGTCCTTTTTTACATGGGAACATGTAATGCAAGTTTGACTTAATTTGTTTCCATATTTTTGGCATATAGGAGGAGGATGGGATTACAGTCATGCATTTATTTTTAAAAGTTGAAAATACTAATCTTAGAAGTCAAATAACTTCTGGAATAAAGTTGTGTTCTAAATGCTTTAATCTCTTCGAGGGTCTGAAACGTTATTCCTTTAATTGATCTTGACCTGAGCTGAGGTTGTAAATTATGCCCAGTAATTAAGAGACATTTAATAAATAAAATATGTATTCTAGTGTTTCCTTTGGAATAGCAATTCCTAAATATTCTAAGTTGGGTACTAAAAATTGACACCTATTTTCTCCTCTGCTCACATAATAGGATAAAAAAGGAAGTTGAGTAAAGACAGGATTTGACCCGAAGTCCACTGACCACAATTTAAAGAGACTAGGGAAAATACTGTTTTAAGTGCATAATATTCTTCTATCTTAGACAATTTAATAGCTGATGACAATATTGCATGGAAAACTCATCAGCAGAAGTTTCTGGCTACACAAAACATGGATGCTTGTAATTAGCTCTTATCACCTGGTTATATTTTTCCTCTTTATGTAAATTTCAATTACCATTAGAATTAAATTTAGAAATGTCTGCATGAATTTGAGAACACGAACCCAATCTTTTCCAGATATATTATTTACAAAGTGTTCAATGACTCCCTTGGGGCCACTGCAATCAATGAGATCAATAATATGAATTTTAAGCAATCTTTTAATATGTATTTATATATAAATCACAAGTCACTAAGATACTTCAGTATCTTTTAGGTCAATAATCTTCCTTCTTACAAGCCTGAAATATTTTAAAGCAATTCATGTATTTCAACATCTACAGCTATTTCTCTCCAAAATCAATCATAATACCATCACAGATTCTGTTTTCTGTCAACTTTGAGGCACTTTCTATTTTCTCTCTAAAACATTTATTTATAATGTAATTTTCTCAGCATCTATTGATAATGGATGTTTCCTGAGGTTGGCAAAAACCTAACTGGATTCCCATTAGCTTGAGTGGTCAAGGTTTATTCCTGAAATAAGTCTATTCTATTTGTTACAGTAAGCTAGATGGAAGTGCCAAGAATTTATTCACCAGGCACTTGATTATAGAGGGCTTTGGTATGCAATGTGGACTGTTAAAACGTTAATGCATTCAATTATACAGTCTTTTCAGAAGACTTAATAGAAACTTTGGAAACGTATTCTTTGGTTTTCTAGTCTCCAAATGTCATTGGTTTGCTATTGAAAATTAATTTAAATTGAAAATGAATGATGGCTAATTCCATAGTGATGCCAGACCTCAAGCCAAGGGATTTGAGTGAATTAAGTTATGACTAACTAAAAAGAGTATCACTGTTTAAACATGAGACATTCCATCTGGACACCAAATTGAATTGGTTGAGCATCTATAATGAGAACTGAATACTGCTGGGCACAGCAAGGGTGAATATGGAGATTACTAAAATTAATCTTTGCCCATGGGCATCTCATAATCTTTTATTATAGTTTTCAATCGTGGGTGCATGCACTCTAAGAGTTCTGCATAACAATCTGTTTGAGTGCAGAAAGACAATAGAACAAGCCAAAATAGTGTTGCAGACACTCTTAGGACTCTGCTCATCAAGCTCTCCCCAACCCCCAGGCCAGGTACAGCTTAGTGGACAATACCCATACACACTTATTACTTCTTACCTCATTTGCTTGCATCCCTCTGAATGCTTTCTCTGGCCACAGGAGCATGTTTTGTCTGTAAGTCAAGCAAATTACCAGTGTTAGTGAGTTAATGCTTCCAAGACAAACCCAGACCAATGAGGAATCAGAGTTGATGCATGAATAGCCCAGCTTTCAGGAAACTGTTCTGAAGTGCTTTTATGCAGTCTATCAGATGGCAGCCAGCAGGATTAAACCCAGTTATCCATCATATTATACTGCTCATTAATTTAATGCTCTTTTATTGACTTTCCTCTCTTCCTTGTCTTATTTTTCACTTCCTCACCCTGCTTCCTAGGATTACAAAATGAATAAATACTTGCATCCAAATCCTTGTAAGATATCTTATAAACATTACACACACGAATAATAATTATAAGTAATATACATTATATTTACTAAACCCATATATATACAAACATATATAATGCATATATAACAGAAAGAAGTAAGTGTATGCAAATTTTGGTATATGAGAAAAATGTTTACTGAGGGGCTACATCATAATTTTTCCTACTCTTAGTCCAGACTCTGCTATACATCAAAACAGAATGAAAGCATACGTGATTTACAATGGGCTACTTCCCAGGAAGCTTGGGATTTGGATGGGAGAAATGAAGACAGACATTCTATTCCATTCTATTTCCATTATTCTTGTTGCGCCAGATTGATATAATGCACCAAAAATGCCTTCTTTAGGAAGGAGATGTAGTTTGTTGTAGGTGATAGTTATAATTTATAAGTGATATATTGGAAGGAAACTCAGGTATAAGAATGAGTTTCACTGCATAGAACTGAGGAGTGGTCTACAAAGAAGCAAATTGGAGATAAAATAATCGAAAGTCAGAGAGATTTTCAAGATGAGTTTAGTCAATTTAAAGGAATTAACAAGAGGGATAAAAGTGAGTATGAAATTAATTAGAAAGGCATTTGTAGAACTGAGATTAGAGCTGGGAAATCTAGCGGGGAAGAGGCTTGGTAAGAAGCTATCTGAAGCTTCTTCCTAGAGGCTACACATGTTGCTGTTCTTTCTGGAAACAGAGGGAGTTGTTAATGCCACACCTTGAGCCTGATAGGCACCCTTGTAAGGGCCAGAAGCGAAGCACACAGAAAAGCAGTACAGGCTCCGGTGTAGTCTTGTGTGAAAATAAGTTCTAACCCGACTCTCTGGGATGTTCAGGATGTCCAAGGAAAAACCTCTTTGGGGTAGAAAAACAAGCTGAGTTGCAAGTCTACACGTGTCTGTCTTTTAACCATGACACATTCTTTTGTGAGTTAAGTGCAAAGGTTGGAAGATGGACAGGCTTGGATCTGGTCAAGAAAGAAGAACCACGCCAGGCGCGGTGGCTCACGCCTGTAATCTCAGCACTTAGGGAGGCCAAGGCGGGCAGATCACCTGAGGTCAGGACTTTGAGACCAGCCTGGCTAGTGTGGTGAAACCACATCTCTACTGAAAATACAAAAATTAGCTGGGTGTGGTGGCGGTTGCCTGTAATCTCAGCTACTCAGGAGGTTGAGGTAGGAGAATCACTTGAACCCGGGAGGCGGAGGTTACAGAGAGCAGAGATCTCACCACTGCACCCCAGCCTGGGCGACAGAGCAAGACTCTGTGCCAAAAAAAAAAAAAACAACACAGAAGAACCCTAACATCTGTGGTTTCTGGAAACATGGAAACCTAACAGCGAGACAACAGCTAACTTGGAGGTGAGACTAGTTTGTTTATCTATGACTATTATCACTTCTTATAATATGACTTTGATCATGCAGATACATATTTATCAGAAGTGGTAAGAAAAGAGTATTCAGAATGTGAATTCTTTCCATTGAATTTTTTCTTTGATGGGATCTTCTGCTTGATACCAAGAGTTCATATGAAAGGATAAGAAAGGCACATAAGTTGTACTCAGTTAATTTGAAATATTTCTAACATACTTGAAAAACTCTGCAGCATCAATAGGTACACAGGGACCTTGAATCACCACTTGCTCATCTTCACGATTACTCTTTTTGAACTTAGCTAAGTAAATTCTAAGATGGAACTCTGATGGAAAATGTGCACATGTATCAAGGTTGTAATACAGGTTGAACTCTACCACAGGTGGTAATACTGCAACATACTTCTTCAAGGGAGCCTATGAGATGGCCATTGCCAGGCTTTATAATTAGCAATGGCCAGCTGAATGCTCCAAAATTGGGCAATTACTTATTGGCTTTCTGCCTTAGCTTTGGGCTTTAACCCATTTTTCTATGTTATAATGGGCTGAACACAAATAGAACAAACTAATTTTTATAAATGTGATATCTGGAAAATATTAAGTAATATGCATTTATGGTATAAACTTTCCCAGTGATATTTGTATTTTGAAAAAGTCTTCTGAAATGAGGAAATCCTCATTTTCACTTTTGTTAGCTTTTTTCTATGTAGATATATGCCACTCACATATTAAGTGTTAGAATCTGATCTGTCCAGCTCCTTGATCCTAGGCAGACTTATGACTGATTTGATAAACATTATAAAGCAGAAATAATACTACGCCAATTCCAGGTTTAGCCTTTTTAAAATTTTTATTTTTATTGTAAGTTCTGGGGTACATATGCAGGATGTTCACTTTTGTTACTTAGGTAAACCTGTGCCATGGTGGTTTGCTGCACCTATCAACCTATCACCTAGGTATTAATCCCAGCATCCGTCAGCTTTTTTTCCTAATGCTCTCCCTCCCCCTACCCTACCCCTAACAGGCCCCAGTATGTGTTGTTTCCCTCCCTGTGTCCATGTGTTCTCATTGTTCAGCTGTCACTTATAAGTGAGAACATGAGGTGTTTGTTTTTCTGTTCCTGAGTTAGTTTGCTGAGGATAATGGCTTCCAGCTCCCTCCATGTCCCTGCAAAGGACATGATCTCATTCTTTTTATGGCTGCATAGTATTCCATGGTGTATAAGTACCACATTTTCTTAATCCAGTCTATGTTTGATGGGCATTTGGGTTAATTCCAAGTCTTTGCTATTGTGAAGAATGCTGCACTGGACATATGCATGTATGTATCTTTCTTATAGAATGATTTATATTCCTTTGGTATATACCCAGTAATGGGACTGCTGGGTCAAATCGTATTTCTGGTTCTAGATCTCTGAGGAATTGCCACACCATTTTCCATGATGGTTGAACTAATTTACATTCCCACAAACAGTGTAAGCCAACCCAATATAGGAAGTGTGACTACCATGAGATCACCATGTTATGAGAAGCCTAAGTCATAAGGAGAGGCCCTGGAGAATTGCTTCATATGTTGCAAGAAGAAGGTACTAGGAGAAGCACCTGGGCACCAGAAATCCAGCCCCAGTCCAGAACAGACCCCACGTGAATCCAGGTCAGTGCCCCTATTAGGCAGAAAAACTGCTCAATCAATTGTCTCCTAAATTCCCGAGCCATAAAATAGTGAGGCAAACCAAAACAGTTTCTTCAAGCCACTACATTGTGGGGTAGTTTGTTACATAGCAATAGATAACAAAAGTACTCTTTTTCCTGAAATTTTGCTGTTCAGAGTCTAAAGTCACAGAACAAGCCCTCAATAGCTTTTAGGTAAACCAACAACTTATATGATTATGTAAGCCTTAACCATATTAGGCAGAGAAACAGAAATGAATGACCAACATGGTACGTATTTACCGGCAATATGGCTAAGAACAAGGTCTTTGGATTCTGACAGGCCCAGGTTTCAGCCCCAGCTTTGCCTCTCTCTAACTTCATGACTTCGGGTGATTAATTTTACCTCTCCAACTGCCAGTTTTCTTATCTGTTGAATGGAATTGTTACTTGCATTAGTTTCTTGTGGCTGCCCTAACCAATTGATAGAAAGTTGGTAGCTTAAAACGATTGAAATCTATTTTTTTGCAGTTCTGGAGGCCAGAAGTTTAAAACCAAAATCTCAACAGAGCCTCATTCCCTCCAATGGCTCTGGAGGAGAATCCTTCTTGCCTCTTCCAGCTTCTAGTGGCTCTGATGTTAGCTCCTGGTGACTGCAGATGTTCCTTGGATTGCGGCTACAGAACTCCAATTTTGTCCTCTTTCTTCGTATGTCCTTCTTGTCTATGTCTTCTTCCCTTCTGCCTGGGTTGAATCAGTGCAGGGTAATTTCCTCATCTGAAGATCTGTAAGTTCGTTAGCCCTATGAAGACCCTTTTTTCCAAATTAAATAAGGTTCACACTTAATGCCATATAAGGTGATATTCACAGGTTCCAGGGCTTAGAATATGGGTATATTTTGGGGGTCCACCATTCAACCCACTACAATAGTCTAAGCCACCCTACAGGAATATTGTAAAAATCCCATTAAGTGAGGTATACAATGTACCTGGAAACACATGTTAATATTTCTTCCATCAATGTTATCATCAATAGACTTGTACATTACTGTCGATCTACGCAAGAACATGTTCGATACAGAATTCCTCTCAATGAATTAGAGAATAAAGTGTTCAACCTTGACTCATATATCATGGAAATATATCAGACAAAACAAATTAAATCTCAAGCTATGAGAATAGATTTTATGTGTCTGTGTGTGTGTGTGTGTGCGCGTGTGTGTGGATGACATTCAAGGCATATTAGATGTTTAATTTATCCTTCCAAATGTAACTTAAACATGTTAAAAATTGGTGTTTATAATACCTTTGAAAGCAAATACTTAGATAGATACTTTATTAATAATGAAGAAACCTCCATATGTCTGATGAGAATATTTTTCAATGTATTTTTATTCCATTTTCACTTGCAACTTTCATAGAGAAAATAAACACCTTCTTACTCTCGCAATATTCTGAAGAAAATAAACAAGTCTCATACTGACATTGTGTTCTTCATTACAAATGTATAAAAGCTACATTGGCATGTTTACATGTCATGAAAAATATATTTCTATGTTTACCAAAATAAGTTCATAGTTTCGAAAGGCTGCTAAGGTCCAAAACATATTCATGGAAAGTGGTATATTGATAGTTTTTTTAGTGCAAAGAGAAAAAGTTAGTGTTGAGTTTTATTTATACTAGAAGTTAGTACCTAGTGAAAATAATCAAAGTTGTAGGTTAAATAGTCAGCATGGTAATCACACAGTTAGAACAATGAAAAGAACAAAACTATTTAAATTTATCTAAAAATTTTTTAAACTATTTTTAAAAACCGTTGCATTATAGTATGCAAGTGTTATAAAAATAAATCCCTTTTGAAAATTAAAATAATATTCTGTGCTTTTAATACCTACAATGGTATTATGATTTGTTTGACTTAATACGAATAATTTAACTTTGGTAAATAAGTGAGAAATTCATTATTGATCTATTTTATTTTATTTTATTTTATTTTATTTTATTTTATTTTAAGGACACATTACATTCTAAAACACTTAAATATATTGACCATGATTGTGTTAACTTTGATTTGATAATAAGTGTAACATACAAGTTAGCCAATAATTTAGATCACTATACTTCCAATAGTGCAACTTACTTCAAAATACCTATCAATTTTTTAAAAATAATGAAGTAAATTCTTATGTCATTTATTTTTAGACTGGGTGGTTGGTTTTGTAAGACAGAGTTTTAGTAATTTTTTCAGAAGGTTCTAATATCTTGGTTTTCCCATTTGTAAATTGCACTACTTTTGGTTTTAAATACTTCAATAAAGTTAAAAAAAAACTCTTACAATATAAAAAATATTGACTATTACACATTATGTGTAGAAAATAAAAGAAATAGACCAATAAAAGGAAAGAAACAATGATAACCTGTTATTTTTGAGGTCTCATAATTAATATTGATTAGGAAAAGGAAAAATTTGCAGTGTACACAGGAAAGGAAAAAGGGATTTATTTTTATTTTTATGTTTATTTTCTATTCAGCATTGATAGTGATAGAGGAAACTTAGACAAATCCACACCTAGGACTTGGAATTCCTTTCCTTAGGAGGGCAGTTGGAGCAGGAAGAGAATATAAATGGGGGCTATGCTGAGCTGAGTAAGGTCAGTAGATGCTCCCCGTATTTCTTCTTTTAAGTAATCCAGTCACTTGCAGCAGGATCTGCGAATAGGACTTCATGTTCTAACATTCAAGTCTTTATATTTCCAACCTATCACATTTCTACCAAGTAGAGTAATGTGACAAAGGGTCTGACACGTGGATTGGCCAATCATTTTTCTCTTTAAGACATCCTGGCATCTTCAGGTTTTACTTGTTTATCCTGCAAGCATTGAAGTCTTGGCAGAGAACATCATGCTGAATTCAAAGTCTTCAAAAAGAATATAGATAGGGGTCCTAACAGCTGTTAGCAAAACTGCTGGTTCTTCTCAAGCAAATAAGACTCCTTTTGACTCACTTCAAATTGGGCTGATAATGGTGTGAGAAATGCTATTTGCCATCCAAGATATTAAAAAATATCACAGCTTTCTCTCTTATTTTTCTTTCCCTCTGATTTATTCCTATTTCCCCCATTAAGGTATTATTGAAACTATTGTTTGGTTCCAATGAGTCTGCAGTTTATCTCTTTTGACCAAGATTGGTATGAAGACTAATCTGGACACTTAAAGAGGAAATATTCTTTGACTTGGCCAGTGATTGTATTAGAATCACAGAGCCACTAAAAATGTAGATGCATTTATTTGATAAGTACAATGAGCTGAATGTGGAAAGGAAAAGGGGCAGCTAATTACTGGAGCTAATAGCAATAAGCTTGCTTTTGTCTGCCTCTAGGAAGCTTTTCTCTTTCTCGCTATCCTATAATATAACTATTAATTGATTAACTAAAAAATACCAGCTATAACATTTATGTGAAATATCATGTTTTTGATGTCTCAGTAACATTTTAAACAGCTTCAATTTTGAAGTTTATCCCTTACCAACTAAGTTGGGGGGAGATGGGGTTAGAGAAGGGCTTGGGTAACAATTATTTTCTCTCTCTTCCTCTCCCTTAGTTTCATAAAATATGTAATGATGATGTTACTCTGCACAAAGGGATATTTCAGGAGACAAGACGAATTCAGTATTAAGATGAAAGCACAGATAAATACTGGAAAATGAAATACACTGTAGAGAAAAATTTCTGACATGTGGATACAGTTTTAAATTTAGACATAGAAAAGCAATTACAAAGCAACATATCAACAAAAAGCTATAAAAAGTCTATTTCAAAAAAAAGCTGCTGAATGTATTTCCAGAAAATACGACAAATTGACAATGTATTTATTAATATAGAAAAGTTTTACAAATCAGTGAGAAAATATCAAGAATTTAAAAAGTAAAATTGAAAAAGACCTGAATATATCATTTGCAAAGAGGAAATACTAGACAGTTATCAAGTATATGGAGAACATTTTCTATCTCAGTAATAATGAAATAAATGAAAATATTTAAAATAAGTTACAATTTATCCCAATGACTGGAAAATATTATATAAAATATATTCTTGTATATTATATTTTTATTATATATAATATTAACCATTTATATACTGATAAAGATATACATAGGTAACGAATACTGGCAAGTATAACTGATAACTATTATTACTGGCAAGTATAAGAGAAAACCAAGATATATTTCCTAAAGAGTTATTGCCAATGGTCTCATTTCAAAGAATAAAGCCTAAATTTAAACTTCTATGTATTAAATATACTTTTTGCAGTATTATTGATTATGGCAAAAAACTGATAATTTATTTTTTCAACTGCAGAGAAATGATGAAGTAAACCAATAAGTATTATGTTGCTATCAAAATTATATTATAAATACTATATAACAAGAAAGAAAGTTGTAAGTAAATTAAATGATATAAAAATTGATAGCATTACTATTACTAGCATATTTTATCTCTAGTATCTGGATTCAAAGAGTCCTCTGTGTATGTGTGTATATGTATGTGGGTGTTTCAGGCACAAAAGCTTGGAAACCTCCTTGACTTCTTGCTTTTTTCCACAAACCCTGTCTAATCATAAAGACATCTTTTTCACTCTACCTTCAAACTATATCCAGAATTTGGCAACTTGTTTCATCTCCACAGTTACTACCAAGTCATTTACTTTAATCAGCATTTGTGGTGGCGTCTCAGTCCCCATAGGTCCAATCACATCCTACTTCTGCAGACCTCCTTGTTTCTTATCTTTCAATTCTTTACCTTCTAGGCCTCAGACTAACAATACATGCTGTTATCAACCATCCATGAGTGTGTATATATATCTCTGTCTTGGGTTACTTTTCTTTCTTCATAAAATGGATGACCAGGTACACAGTGCAAAACTCGGACATTGAAAGGATTTCTTCACACCAGAGTAGTTAATAACCATCCGTGACTAGGACTGGAGTGTAGGAACACCCATAATTTCTACATACTTTCATCATCTTTATCTAATACATTGATAACTCCCAGCAAGAGACATATGATTCCATAATAGTTGTTATTATGAGATTCTTAGAACTTCTCAGAAGACTAAGATACTGCATCTGGCAGAGTGTTTCCTTTCTCTTGTATCACATCTCAGTTTGCTATAAGTAAAAATATTCACATTTGTACCTCTATAGCATGCCAAATGATGTCAGGACACCACCTCTTATGCAGTCAACATTAACAGCTGCATAGCATGTACTCTACCACCAAAATCTTATTTAAATACATAAAGGAATCTTATAATTCAAGAACTAAAAGGCATGCACCCCAACTGAAAATGGGCAAAGGACTACAAATGGTTAAATATCACATGAAAAGATATTAACTATCATTAGTCACTAGGGAAATGCAAATGAAAACCGCAGTGAGATACCCCTTGACACCTACTAGAAAGGTCTTAATAAAAAAATACAGAAAATAACAGGTGTTGGGGAGGAGGAAAGAGAAATTAGGATCCTTACACATTGCTCATGGGAATGTGAAATGGTGCAGCCACTGTGGAGAACAGTTTGGCGGTTCCTCAGCAAGTTAAACATAGAATGACCTTATGATTCAAAGCCCACACCTAGGCATATACCTAAAAGAATTAAAACCAGGTGTTCAAACAGAAAGTTGTATATGAATGTTCATAAGAACAGTAGTCATAGTAGCTGAAAAGTAGAAACAGCCAAATGTCTATCAATAGATAAATGGGTAAACACAATGTGGTATATCCATACAATGGAATATTACTTAGCCATAAAAAGGAATGACGTACTTATAATATTAAAAAACATTATGTTAAGTCAAAGAAGCCAGACACAAAAAGTCACATATTCTACAATTCAATTTATAGTAAACCCATAGAGACAGAAAACAGATTAGTGCTGTTTCAAGGCTGGAGGGAGGGGAGAATGGGAAATCACTGCTTAATAGATATAGGGCTTCCATCTAGGGTAGTGAAAAAAATTCTAGAACTAGGTAGTGGTGATGGTTGCACAACATTGTGAAGGCAATTAATGCCACTAAACTGTACATTTTGACATGATTAAAATGGTAAGTTTTATGTTACATGTATTTTTCCACAGTAAAAATTTCATTCTAGATTTTGCTTCCTGGGACCAATGTATCATCCATAGTATTACACCATATTACCCAGAAAAGGGACTCTAAGGCACAGATACACCTTCAGAAAGTTTATCAGAGAGAGCTACTGAGAACTGTAGGAGAAATTAATCTGTAATTTGGCTATAAAGGAAGACTTAGCCAATCTTAAAAATAACTGTGGAGGTGGGAGAGCCCTTCGGTATTTCAAAATAAAGAGAAGTGCTCAGATCTTCATACTCAAACTCTACCAAACGCAGGTTGTTCCCAGGGAGAGAGCCTAGCCTTGGGAGAAGCTGCACACTACAGCCAAAAGCAATTTATTGAGAAAGGATTCAACTGTGAAACATCAGCATCCAACGTTATTAGCAGCGGAAAAAAACATGTGTCAGCCCTGAGAAGGAGGGTCTTACTGGTGCACCACTGTATTCACTCTAACACATAAGGCAGAAGTCCTTTTAAAATTCCTATGTCCTAACTTACTGGCATGAAACAAATTTGTGATTAGAATTCTATTCTGACAATTATCTCAATGATCATTCAATGCATGTCCAACATTCACTAGAATCTGTTTGTAAGGAAAATAACTACCTCTCCAAACTATTTTCTTTTTTTGCCATTTCAATAAATCAACTGCTTGAAAGGGTGATGCCTATATTACACTGAGATGATCTGCATGTCATGAATTCTCAGGATAGCCCTGAATAAAAATTACCTTTCCCACGGTCTCTATAACTTCTCTTCAACCTGTGTTTGTGTACCACTATCCAATCAAATCACTAACTAAGAGGACATAATGTCTCCTTGGACATTCTTATTTACTTATGTATCTATTGACTGTTTTTATGCTTTTCCCAGCTTCATGACACTTAAAAAAAAGTTGGCCTCTATGGTTCTCTTAGTATAGTGATCTCAAGCTATTGGAGACAGCTTATAAAGAGTTAAAAATGGTGTAGAACGTAAGTTCCTTTGCAATTCTGAGCCAATGACTGATGGGTGTTAAAAGCTTTCAAAACTCATGGTTTCGTTTAGGACATACTGAGGCGTAACTTACTCTACAGACCTCTCCCATGTGATCAGAGTGAAGCCACTCTCTGTGGGATTGGGAATAGATTGGGGAAAGCAGAAGAGGAAATGGGAGACAAATGAGAAAGGGCTTGATATCAAACCCTAGATCTTCTTTGTTGAATCAATTTCACATGGATCTCATCTCAGGTCCTGTAGCTATAAACCTACCTTAAGACACTAAATGTGGATAATTTACATCATATCTACAACTAATAATCATATCTCAACTTTTGTGACTATTTTAGCACAAATATATCCCTGGGCATGGGAACTCACACCTAAAGTTGTATTTTAAAAAAACCTGAAATCCAATTATAAACCCCCTGCAATTTGGTTAAAAGCAGTTTAATTTACTCAACTGCATAACAATAGGTGGTTTTCCTGATTTTTTTCACAAACACGAAAAGCATTTGATGTGAGTTATGATTGGCTAGATTGCTACATAATAAACAGACTGAAGCAAATTGGGGGTGCGGGTGTAGGAGGGTTTATTTTTTCAACTTAGATTGATGACTTTTATGACTCAAAACAGTCACATGGTTTATTTCTTCAAGTGCTCTAGCCAGGACTTTGATTGTCTGTCTTCCACATTGTTCTCAAGGGCACCTTTACATCAATATTCTGAGGCCAAGGTCCCCAGAGACATTGGCCAGGGGAAAACTGGCTGAATGTGATGGGTGGCTGTTGCCTTCCTCAACTTCAAGAAATAAAGAGTGAAGGTGATTGGACAGTCAATGTGCAGAGTCAAGCATCATCAGTTTATTTTGTTGAAGCCCATACAGTGGAAATTAAACTTCCGGCTGTATAAGGAAAATAAACAGAGACAATGGTATTTTCACTCTCCTAAGCAGTTTATCCAGATCAATATGGGAAAGATTGCTGCTTCACTGTGGCTGACCTGAGCCTTAATTAAGGATTTTGCTCTCTAAGGTTGACATGGCAGCCACCTTCGTGAGTATTAGAGTATTGAGTTTCTCTTTCAAAAATTTGGAGTTAAGACAAGATCAGCATGCAAAACGCAACTGAGGATGATTTTTTAAGAATCCATAAACTAGTTTTTGTTTTTTTCTAAAGTAGATTTAAGATTTCAGTAATAATATCCCTATGGTTTTATTTTGCCTTACAAAGTCCTCATATCCATAGCATAGCAAAGAAGGTCCTTTTAAATCTTGCTCCACCTTTGTTATTTTTTCCTTTTTGCCCACACTGCAAATATATATATATAAATATATATATTTTATATATTTATATATATTTGCATATATTTATAAATATGATATATTTATAAATATATGTAAATATATATTTATATATTATATAAATATATAATATATATAATATATAAATATATAAATATATATTTAAATATAAAATATATATTTATATATAAATATATAAATATATATAAATTATATAAATATATATATGTATATATATGTATGTATATATAAGTCTCCAGCTATCACAAGCAGCTTCTCCTGTATTTCTCACTTTGTGTCTCTGGACATGTTGGCCATTCCTCCTGTGGTACTTTTCCCTGTTTCTCTAACTCTGTCTTCAAACCTAGCTCAAGCATCACTTCCTCCAGGAAGCCTGCCTTCACTTTGCCCTCCTTTCACACTCACTGTGGCGGTTGTCTTCTTTAATTTTAATTTCTTTCTTTATAATATGTTAATATATGTATTACAGCAGTAACATAATATGAAATACTTCATCTCTTGAACTGCATTAAAAATTTATTGAAGAAAGAGATTGTTTTTTTCTTCTTAGGATTCCCATCCCTTAGCAAAATTTCTAAACAATGTATGTGCTAAGTAAATGTTTCTTAATTATTGAATTATTGAATGCATTTGATTATTCAAAATACTTGCCATTTTGAGCTGATACATACTTTAAAATCAAAATGATCATTCCAATGACAAATGATATATGTGATATATGCTGGTGACTTTCTCAAATACATAATATGAAATGAAAATGCTTCAATGGGTGAATCAATTGGCCTGTTTGAGAAATGTACTTCCTGGAAATATATTACTCGGAGCTAGTCTTTTGAAAATAAATGTATAAAATCATTTTCTTTTTACAGAACAGCATTTGTAGGATTAAAGAAAACCAATATTTCTAGAACCCTCTTGTACAGTTTTCATAATTATCAGTACTTGAAATTTTGTCTCAGCCTTTACAAAGATTGCATTAGCATAAAATGTTGTGTTCTTTTGATTTAATATATTCTTTGAAAAGGAAAATATTAACCAGAACTAAGAGTTGGGATAGGAAATTATTACCTGCCAGGTGACAAACAGTACTTTACACTGATGAGAAATATATTTTTTTAAAAATGCAAATTACTGAATTTGAGTTGACACTCAAACCTTTTAGAAAAAATTTGCAAAATTAAAATTTAATATCCACTATTAAAGTAATAGTTATTTAAATTGCAGCAAATTGCAAATTCAAAATTAATGTGTTCTTTTTAAAAATGTTACCTGCATTATTACATTTTGTCAAATCGTGTCTGCACATGATTCAGCACAATTAGGATTCTTTAGACTAGAAAGAGATTATTATGCTTACTGCTTATGATCATTCTTTTGGAATACTGAGCTGAGGCTATAGGTAAAAAAAAAATTTTCGTGATTATAATGTGGCACTTTTGTAAGCTACAATTCTGAAGATCTTTATCCTGAAGATTCTTAGACCCATAATACTTCATAGAAATGATTCTGTTCTTTATTTCTATGCCTTCATATCACTGAATTCCAAATAAAAACCTAACCCAAAGATGCTTATTTTTGAGGATATTAAATTCTCTAAAAATAGACAATAACAAGTTTCTGTACCAGGAATTCTTTTCCAAATGTTTGCCCAAGTTATCACCTCATAGTTCTGCACAAATATACTAAAAATAAGTAGAAATATTTTCATTTAGCAGGAACTTTCACTAAGGCATGAAGCCCTGATTGATCATGATAAATTTCCAGCCCCTTAAGATACCTGTCTTTGTTCTGATGAAGGAATGCTTCCGTGCACCCGTAGAATGAATTTGATTACAGTATTACTTCCTATGCTGAAATCCTTCTGTGGATTGCCATTGAATGGCCTAACTCCTTACTATGGCTTATGGAAGTCTTTGAAATCTAACCCTTCCTCCTGTCCTACCTTCCCTATGCATAATTGTCACTCACTCTGCTCTACATTCTTTTTTCTTCCTGCAGACATACTAAGCCCTTCCTCAGCTCAGGTATTTTGCATACATGAGTATATGTTTCCCTCAATATGTGATAAACTCGCTCCTTCTCAGCCTTCTTATCCCTATGTAAATTTCACCTCCTCAGAGAAACTGCTATGAGTATGTTTTCTGAAAACTCTTCTCAATTAACCCCCAATTTTCTTCATTTCAGCCCTATATTATTTTCTTCATGGGAATGTCTTAATTTATAATTACTGTATTATTAATCTGTTAACATTCGATAAAGTGTCCACCTTCATTAGAATATAAATTCAATAAGTCAGAACTCTATCGATCTTTTTTTTTTTGCATTAAAACCTCAAATTACCTGGCCCTCAATGTATATTTGATGTTTGAATAAATGAGTATATTTTGTTTCTGAATCAACCTTTCTTGCCATGTTATTTATCTACAGATGTTTAACAAACGACTCAAAATTTGATAGTTTAAAACAACAATAAGGATTGATTATTTATTATGATTTCTCTGGTCAGGAATTCGGGAGCTTGGCTAAGTAGTTTTTGCTGTATGGGGTTACAGTCAGATGTCAGCTGGGGCTGGTCACCTGAAGACTTTCCTGGGACTGGATATTCTGCTTCTAAGATGGTTCATTCACAGGACTGGCAAGATTGTTCTGGCTCATGGACAGAATGGCAGCATGTTTTGACAAGGAACTGCTTGAGTGTCCTCATGGCATGATGGCTGCATTCACACAGAGGGAATTATATTTAAGAGACCAGGGCAGAAGCTGCTATGTCTTTCATGACGTATCCTCGGCAGTTATACATCATCATTTCTGTCATGTTATTTGTCACCAGGCCAGTCCTTATCAAATGGGTGAGGACACTATCCAAGAGCATATATACCAGGAAATGAGAATCACTGGAGACCTATTGAACCTGGGTGCCATTCTCCTCTAGTCTCTTCTTCTTTTATCTGAATACTCAACTGCCTTCCTTATCTTTCCAACTCCACCCTTAACATCTGTTCTTTCCTCCTTGAGATAAACAATCCAGATGTATTTTCATACCTTGCATAACATTCTTTATTTTGTCAAGATATCATCAGACCAGAAGTCCATCAATTATCCCCAACATTAGGCATGACCAAAAAAGTCCCAAACTCCTACCTACCTGCTACCTTTTCCTCTTCTCTCTTCTTCTCTCTCTCTCTCTCTCTGTTTCTCTTTCTCATACACACACACAGACCCCCCTAACTGGAGAGTACCTGACTTGTTTTAGACAAACAGTTTTAGAAATAAATTTTACATTTAATTCTAAGGAAGTGAGAAAAATCGTGGGCCAGGATTTCAGAATTCCTCAACAACTTAAAAGAAAGTATTCAGGTGTGCATGGCCATTGATCAACATTTAAGAATTTGTTTTCTTTAAAAAACTGATTCCTTTCCTTCTACCTTTCCTTCATCTCTAGCTATTATTAAACACCCGGTCATAAGCTTCTTAATGGCAAATATTCTTATTTCCCATCAATTTTCTCAAATGGTGAGGCAGCTTATTTTAGCCAAGTGAAAAATTCATTTAAGATTCATGTATGCCGAGTTCTAGACAAAACACTAACCTTTTGGTGTTTGGCCTTAACTTTGTCAAACATAACTTCCTGCCTTAAAAAAAGTTTTAAATGTTAATTAAAAACACTCAAAGAGTCTTAGTCAAAAAATAGTCCTGAACTTAGACCTATTCTCGCCTACAAAATGATGAGTTACAGTAAGAAGCATATGGATTAAATGTCTCCGCAAACTTAATGTGAATTTAAAGATTAGTCAGTATTTGGAAAACATGTCTACATTTTGTTGAATTAGCTAGTAAAAACGTTTGAATGTAATCTAACATAAATTGCAGTCAGTTTTAATTCCTCAGATTAAAATTAGGAGTATGTGCTTATATTATGCTAAAAAGTTTCCAGATTGTTCACTAGGAGTTCAAAAGTTTAATGGGAACCAAAGGAAAGTTATAGTCAGGTGAGACATTTGGTGTTACTGACCATGATTTTAATGTGATTTTTAATCTTCACCACCTCAGTATATGAACACTGAATACCAACAGAAGGTCAGGAATATTAGTTCTTGGGACTGTAGAGATGATTGAAAATGTGGAACATTTGGTCTTCTATGAGAACCTTAATCCATAAATCATTATAATTTTCATTAATTTATAATTTATAATCTGCCTTCATCCAAAAGAGTTTTGAAGTGGCTCACAATAAAATATATATGCAATTGCACTCAATTAAACCAATAGAATTAGTGCAAGAACACCTGTTTTCCTATACTTGCACACAGATTTTTCAAACATTTATTAAACAAATATTGATTGTTATCTTACTTTGTGTACTAAATCCTGCTATGCACTGGAGTTGGGGGGCACTACATAAATAACAAAACTCCTGCCTTTTAAAAGCATATAATTTCCTGGGATAAACAGACAGCAGATATACAAATTATATTTGTACTGCATGTCACTACTTTATATAATAAGATGCCATACATTTTATCTAAATATAGGCGATAATAGAGTTTTAAATAACAATATTCACCCTCGCTGAGAAACAAGAGAAAATAAAACAAATACATTGCCTCAGAGCTCAGTATAATTTGACTCCACACTCATTTTTCATCTGAAGCAAATTATTAGAGTTCTGCAGTGATTGGTACCTCCTCTGTGAATAAATATCATTTTTCCAAAGGATGCTCAAGAGAGATTAGAGATCAATATGGATTCATTTTTGTCTTATAATGGGAAATACTGGCCCTACACAGCTATCACATGCCAAGACAGAATCGAGAGATCACAGACCTTGTCTTTCTATCTATCACCCTTGCTCTTTTATGCACATGTAAACTTCAAGCCTTCCTCATTTTCCTGACAGGTGCACTAAAGACAGTTGAATTATTTACACTGTTCCTAATGTAAAATAGTATGCATTTAGCAACTGAGCCAAAATCTTTTTGTAAAGAAACCTGGCTTTAAAATACCAGAGCAGTACAAGGTTAGTGAATCTCAGCAGAGGTGTAAGAATTAATCTCACTGAAGGTATTACTGCTAGCATATGTAGAAGAGGGATAAGAAATGAATTCACAACAGTTCACTCTTCCATGACTATCTTAAATTTCTTCTTTGCATAGCTACCTCCCATTCTTGCTTTCCTTCTCCTTCCTTTTAAACCATTGCTTTGTTCTTTTTTCTTTCATGGCTGCAATTAGCGTAGCAGAAATGGTAACTCCTATAAGTCACTGGCCTGACTCTACAACATCTACCAAGCACCATGTTAGCGAGTGTCCCACAGGAGACTTCATTTTTAACCTGACTCAAACCTCCGCCCTCAACTAACCCCTTCTCTTGATTCTCCCCACTCCACCTAGATTAGCTTTGTCTTAAAATTGATGCAGAAGGTACTTTTTAAAATGATTTTAAGAATACAAACCTGATTCCTTTAGAAGACAACAAATGGCTGTTTTTCCTATCCATGGGTAACTGTCTTTTTTGTTTCTTTCAGTCTAAAAGCTCTCATATTCTTATACCACTGCCATATTACAACAGACAATATCATGGAATTTTGGAGGAAAAAAAGTTCTTAGAGATGTAAGTGGAGGGAAACTGAGGAAAATATCAGATCACTTATAATTTTCTTCGCACGCAAAGAAAATAAAGCCACTTTGAATGCAATTCAAGTTTTGAATAAGGATATTTAAAAGTTCCCCATTCTGATTTAGGCTATAGTTGTGGTTTTCATAAACTACTCTTCATTAAAAAGCTAGTCTGACTCCATCTGATATTATGTCAGCAAAGGATGATCTTCTTCAGATTTACTCATTTCTTGTTTTGTATTTTAATGATGCTCAAGCCATTTTACAGTTCTAAACAAGCAAAAGGTCATGTTTAAATTACAATGTATTTGTACTTGTTATAAAGAAACAAAGCCTAGAGTCTGCTCTAGGATCATGTTTATGTCATGCTATAGATTTTTACATCAGGATTTTGGATTTTTGTGTTGTTCTTACTATTTTAGTTTTGTTTGTTTGTTTATTTGTTTATTTATTATTTGGAGACAGAGTTTTGCTCTTGTTGCCCAGGCTGGAGTGCCATGGCACAATCTCGGCTCATCACAACCTCCACCTCCCGGATTCAAGTGATTCTCCTGCCTCAGGCCCCTGAGTAGCTGGGATTATAGACATGCACCACCATGCTCAGCTAATTTTGTATTTTTAGTAGAGATGGGGTTTCTCCATGTTGGTCAGGCTAGTCTCAAACTCGAACTCCCAACCTCAGGTGATCCACCTGCCTCCGCCTCCCAAAGTGCTGGGATTATAGGAGTGAGCCACCATGACCGGCTGATTTTTTTATTTTCTTACTTGACTGGGCATTTTCCCATAATTACAAACACTTCAAAACTAAAATTATTGTAGAAAATTGTAGTTACTATTTTTTTCACATAAAAATATGCGATTTTCCTTGAAATTCCCAACAAGTTTTCCTAAAACCATTCTAGATGTGCAAATAATTATTTTTCTTTTCTTTTTTTTTTTTTTTTTTTTTTTTTACTTTAAGTTCTGGGATACACATGCGGAACATGCAGGTTTGTTACATAGGTATACATGTGCCGTGGTGCTTTGCTGCACCCATCAACTCATCATCTAGGTTTTAAGCCTCATATGCATTAGGTATTTGTCCTAATGCTCTCCCTCGCCTTGCTCCCCACCCCCTACAGGCCCCGGTGTGTGATGCTCTCCTCCCTGTGTCCATGTGTTCTCATTGTTCAACTCCCACTTATGAGTGAGAACATACGGTGTTTGGTTTTCTGTTCCTGTGTCAGTTCGCTGAGAATGATGGTTTCCAGCTTCATCCATGTCCCCGCAGAGGACACGAACTCTTTCTTTTTATGGCTGCACAGTATTCCATGATGTATATGAGCCACATTTTCTTTATCCAGTCCATCATTATGGGCATTTGGGTTGAACAACTGTTTATTAATGAACACTACTACTACCAATTCACAAAGGGAAAAACAATTTTAAAAAATCTTAGTGTTCCATATGTAATGTAAATATTTTTTGATACATATATTTCAGAGAAGTTGTCAAAAGTTGCCTATTTACTCTTGTATATTGCTACCCACATATAATGCGAGGAAGCTGATTTGTAAGTTCTTTGAAGGCAGGGACCAAATCTCCCTTCCTTCTCTGAGTGTGCTTAATAGGGGCAAGAACATATTGTCCATTTATACGCCCTCACTGCAGGAGCCAATGAATCTTGAAGTTCTTAATATAGACAATATAGTTTATTTGGATATGAATTCAATTTTATTGAGACAAGGGAGCTGCCTTCATTTCCCTGTGATCACATGGATTTTAATTTTAAGATGCCAGGGAATATCTCCCTTTCGCATTCTTGCTTGACAAGAAGTGATAGAAAACTACAGGACCAATATAATTATTACAAGCCAACTCCAGGCTTTCCTCCCTTGATTCCCAGCTTGTTCCCATTTCATGCTCATTTCCGCTTGGTGTTCAGTGACTGGCTACATAACCTACTCACTGTCCTTCAGCCTGACTTAGATTTGTTGCTTGCACTTTGCCATCTTGGTTCTAACCACACTTTCCTTGAGGCCTTTGAACTCTAATTAAATCTTTCATATTTCTGTTCCAGACTAACTTGGTAGAATATTTCATTCCATTTTTCTTCATTGGCTCCAATTGCTGTCTCTAGATTACAAATATATTTTAACCACTGGTGAAAGCAGAGATACTTGTAGGAAATCACTTAATGTTTTCCACACATCCTTGACAACTCACAGAACTCTCTCTGGTAGATCTCTATTTATTTTTTAAATAAAACTTAATATATATTTTGTTCAGACAAAAAATTTTGTCATACTTAATTTATACAGCTTAAACTTTCCTAATGACATTGTTGACTGTTGCCGGTGAAGTTGCTAGCAAACCATCATGCCCTCTTAGTCTTTTTTTTTTTTTTTTTTTTTTTTTTTTTGGCTGAGACAGTGTCTCACTCTATCACCCAGGCTGGAGTGCAGTGTCATGATCATGGCTCAGTGCAGGCCCAACCTTTGGGGCTCAACAGATCCTCCTGACTTAGCCTCCCAAGTAGCTGAGACTACAGGCATGTGCCATCATGCCTGGCAAATTTTTATATTTTTTATAGAGACCAGGGTTTTGCTATGTTGCCCAGGCTGGCCTCAAATTTCTGGGCTCAAGTGATCTGCCCACTTTGGACTCCCAAAGTGCTGGGATTATATGCTGGAGCCACCATGCCCAGTCTGTACCCCTAGTCTTAAGGATGAAAAGAATTCTATCAGGTTCTCTTATCCTTCTTCCAAAACTCTTACTTCCTCACTATAGTGAAAACAATACCATATATGTACATATCTATACATCTAGTCCAGGAACAAGTGATTATAACGGTAACCTTTTACAATTAAAATCTGACACATAGAGGAAAATTCCATTATGAGAAGGCAGCACAACACTCCAAAATCAGGTTAGGTCTCTATTTAAATGGGCCTGTCTCAAATGCATCTTGATCACTGAATAACGTTAGATACTGTATCAACTGATCTTCTGAACTTTGGTTCATCAGCAAACCAAAAAAAAAAAATTCGTACCTACTCTCCAAGGTTTCTGTGAATAACAAATGACATAACAGTATAAATCACAGAAAAATGAGTCTATCTTCTGGTCAGTGCTTAATATATATGTTAGTATTTATAACCATAAATCAGAGTGATAATAGCAGCTAAGACTCAGAAATCTGTATGGGTCAGACACTTGTAAATGTTTTAATTCATGCAGTAATCCTATATGGCAGATACCGTTTCTTGCAGGAGAAACCTGGGGCACTGACAGGTTAGACAATTTGCACAACCAATGTAACATTGTGAAAAAGGACAGAAGCAGGATTCAAAGTTAGACAGTCTGGCTCCAGAGCCCTTTGCTTATTACTATGTCTCAGCACCTCTCCTCATGCTTGGAAAGTTAGCAAACATGGGCAATGGGTAACTCCAAAGACAAGTGTTTGTAACAGGTTCTGAAACTTGGCAGCATCACGTGGAAACACCAAATCTTGCTGAATTACAATTCTTCTAACAGTTTTAGCAGTTGCAAGCCAGCAGTGATGCTTATCATTGAAGCATTGGCTTTTATGTGCACTGTACTCTGTCACACAGAATTAAATGAGATAGACTAGCTCCCATCTCAGAACAATTAAGTCAATTGAGTGTAAAGGCCACCCCCACCCCCACCCTGATACTGGGTATGTAAACAATATTGATTTTAAGTTTATAGATTGAATAAACTGGAAGCCATTTGAAATTTGTAGAAAATAATTAACCATAAGATGATTCAATCAAAAGTTTATTGAAAGTAACTAAAGTAATGGAAACTATTGATCATTACAAGGATTGATCAAATAATCAAAATAAATTTCATTTAATCGGGATTTAATTGGACAATACTGAAACTGAATAAAAGTCAATGGAAATGGATAGGATGGTGTCTGAGCATATATTTGTATTAAAAGTCTTCGTTTAAAAACAAAAACTGTTATTTCATGAGATACTCACGTCTTTCCAGATGCTTTTGCGCACGTTTCCTTTAAATTTGTATATAAGAAGAAAAGGGAGGCTTTAAACTGATATTAAGTTTTGATCAGATTCAGTAGATTCAAAGTATTTTAAGAGTTGAATTTCTATAGTACTTTGAAAAATACTCTGAACGATTCAGTTATAAAAATTTCTCTTGAATGTATTACAACCCCTTAGAAGGCAAAATTCTAAAAGTGGGACATATAATATTTTCATCTACTTCTCATTTCCTTTTTTATTCCATCATTTTTTTCCCCACAAGAGATACAATTTTACTTTAAGAATTCTAGATTTTTTCTTATCCTGTGAAATCTAAATCTCTCCCTATAGGCTTAATTAAATTAACAGATATTTGATCAAAGTAAAGGAGCATAAGATAATAATTAAATCGGATAGAGTCAGTAGCCTTATGGATTTAAAAGGGTGTAGGCTAAGATATTTCGCAGATCTTTTTTTGTATCTTAGGGTTGTTAAAAACTAGCTATGTGGCATTGGGCAGTTTACATTTTATATGCCCTTATTTATCATCTAAAATAAAGGTTTGCCTTCTCTCCAGGTCAATAGTGAAGATTTGCCTAAACACTGTGTGAAATCTAACCCAATGTCTTGCACATAAGGGGATACTTCTTGAATATTACTCCCCACTTTCTCTTCTGGAGATTTGAATAGAACCAAGTTTGACTATTTCTCTTTCTTCCAGAATGCCACTTAAATATCTATTCAAGTAAAAAGGGCATTAGGAATGCTTTATGATCATGTATGCCCTCCTGAAAAAAAAAAGCTAGGATTTTACCCTGGCTTGAATTTTGGGTGGACAATAATTCACAGTGTGCAGCAATTCTTGGAAGAAATGACATACATAGTGATGTAATGGCATGAGTATTGGTAGCAAACTGGTCCTATGATGTGAACTTTGGCTTTCACATTGTTTTCTTTTTATTTTAATTTTAAAACTTTTTTGTAGAGACAGTCTTGCTTTATTGCCCAGGTTTGTCTCAAACTCCTGTCCTCAAGCGATCCTCCCACCCAGGCTCCCAAAATGCTGAGATTCCAGGTGTGAGCCACTGAATCTGGCCAGATTACTTTCTTTTTATTAGCTTTTATCTTCGTATGAATTCCACTGAAAGCAAAGCCTAAGATAGGATTTGGGTTCAGATAATTTTTGGTTTTATTTTGTTTGTTTTTTGTTTGTTTTGTTTTTTGTTTGTTAGTTTTAGATGCAATTGTGGAAACTCAGAGTGAAGGAGCAGAGAGAGCCAGACAAGGACCAAGGCTACAAAAGTGTGTGTTTGAAGCTGGCAGCTGCTTGGAACAACTGGATGTATTCCTTCTGGGTATCCTCTGAAGAACTGCAGAGAAGCATTCAACATTTTCTTCAGATTTTCCGTCAAGGTCTGGTTAAATTTAAAGCCTGGACTCCATTGGTTGAAGAATACTGCTGGGGAGTTAAATTTCCTATACATCCAGGCTTTGCCTGATTGAGAACGGAAACAATTTCCATGGCTTCAAAGAAAGATCTAAGGCAGCAAAGCTGAGACCTGACAGGTGCTTAGGTAACATGTCATCAACGTGAACAGAGGACTGTCCACTTCAGCAGCATCAGATAACATCAGAGATTTATGACTTTTGACATGATAATGAGAATATTTTATGAAGTTAAATTGACAGCTTTGCTTGAAAAAGCAAGAGGTATGACAGTATCATGCTTAAATTAATATAATAATAGAAATGAGAATGGTGATAATAATTATAGCTAATACTTATTATGCACCTACTATGTGCCAGGTACTAGTTTAAGCCCTTGATCTGTGTTTTCTACCTAATCTTTACAAACGAATTTATTTCCCAACCTCAAAATCTGAATTTTCCAGTCTTCCCTATCTTAGTAACTATCTGCTCCTATCTGCAGTGGTCTGGACAAAAAAATCTTGGTTTCACCTTCAACTCATCCCATACCCTAGGTGGGTAAGTGATGTTGGCCCTACGTTTCAATTATATTTTGAGACTGACCATTTCTCATCTCCCTCACCATTACCACCTTGGCTCAAGCAACCATCAGTTGCAACCTGGTCTTCCTGGCTTATCAGTGCCATTCCTAATCCATTAAAGCCTATTCTCTCCAAAACAGCCACAGCCACAGTGACTAACTGAAATCTCAAGTGACATCATGTTTTTCTTCAGTTCAATACTGTCCCTTAGCTCCTCATCTTTTTCAGAGTAAAAGATTTTGATCCTTGAAATCACTTAAAAGACCCTCCATTAACTTTTAATGTCACCTGCAACTCTATCTTTCTCCATCTGTTCTAGAGGCTCCAGATTCTATGCTCTTTTCAAATACACTAAATGCATTCCAGTTTCAGAGGCTTTGCTGTGGATGTTGTCACCTATAATGCCCTTCTAGTCTGGTCTGCTCACAGCCTGATCCCTAACTTTAATCACTTATCCTCTCAAATGCCTCCTTCACAGACAGGACAGCCTGTATAAATACAGCCTATATAAAATGTAAACATTCATCCATTTCTACATTCTGTTAAGACAGTAAACCCCTACTCATATCTATGCTCTTATAGCCTTTTAAATAATGCATACTAGCTTCTGAACATTATATATGATCTTTTTTTCTTAGTTTATTGATTATATAATTCATGCTTTGAACATGCGCTGTGGAGAACCAGGACTTTGCCTTTTTGATCATTGCTGTGTCTGCAGACCTTAAAATAAAGTCCTTCACAGAGTAGGCACTTTATTCACTTTATTTGAATGAGCAAATCACCATTTTATGAGGTAGGCACTATTATTCTCAAAATTTACAAATGTGGATAATGAGACACAAATAGATAAGTATTGTGCTTTGCTTAGCCAAGGCCATATACCTGGTAAGTGGAGAGATGGGTTCGCATATAACTAGAGGTCAAGTTCTTAAACTGAATGCTAATTTTGCCCCCTTCAGATATAGCATGCACTCTCCAATTTGCCATAGCCCCCAACCAGCACACTGTATTCTTTCATGTTATCTGCTTGACCCTTGTTGAATTTAGGTTTGTAATTTCAAGCTGAAATAATAGAAGACACAAGGAAACTGTGAGAGATGAAAGACAGACTAGATTAGGACAGGAGAGAGAGAGAGAGAGAGCAAAAAAGAGAGGAAAGGTCAACCAGTTGTTTTAGAGGAAATGTAGCTCAAAGCTCTAAAATATCTATGTGTAAATGTGTATCTGTTGCTACCATTAGTAGTATTTTCAGAGTTTGGAAAAGACACTACACCTTCATATCCACATGCCCACAGACTTATACACAGAACTATTTCTTTCCCAGTGAAGCTTTACTTACTGTAGAAGACAACCACTGCATTCTTACTGGACAGAGGGTTTTGCATTTCTCAACTAGATCACAAATTCTTTCTAAATTGATGCATGACATCCTAAAGGCTGCTTAAATTCCTTTAAATTTTATTACTTGATTGAAACTTTCTCATGAGACATTTTAGCTTTCATTGCCCTCTGCCTATGAGATCATTGTTATCTTATATCTGATAGCTTGCAAAGGAGTCTAAATCTTTAGTAGGTTTTATAAGTGAAATATCTTACTTGACACTCATTATGATGTAAAACTATTTACAAATATCATCAAACCACAAATAAACTACTCTCAATTAATATATAGTTTCTAGGAGGAGGTTTTATAATTATGTAATTATATATATATGTAATATATATATTACATATATACATAATTTGGGAGCCAATTCTGTAGAATTTAAGTCATATTGGTTTATTGTGAATGAAATGCAGAGCAGTTTGTTATTTTTCTAATCAATCTCAGTATGATAGATTTCTACTAAGCCTTTGCTGTACTGTGTGGTTGCCTGGAGCCTTGCGTGTGTCATCATCACAACTTTTTTCTCTTTTTCATCTTGACTTAAGATAGTTGTAGGGTATCTGTGAGGACAAATATATAAGATGGCTTTTGTTGTTCAAGTGTTCTCCATTCTCTGGTATATGCTACTAGAGTAGAAAGAAAACTAATTACATTCATCTAGGACTGTGCTTTATAATCATATATTCAAAACTGGAAAAAAAGCTTCCTAATTCATCTATGTTTCAATTTGTGCAACATTACAGAATTAATGTGCAACATTATTATTTGAAAGTATACATCTAGCTCCTAACAGTGTGAAAGTTGAAAGTAAAGGAGAAAACAAGGCACAACAACAAATATTATAGTTAGATGTATATTTTTGAATAATAAGTTCAGTTCTGTCTGTATGTCCTCTTTATAAAATGGTTAGGTTGATGCTGCATAGAAACCATGCATTGTATTTAAACTTAGACATTTCCTACAATTTACTGTCATTGGAATCAACTTCATGAATTGAAAGACTGACATTCTATGAAGGGAGAAAATGGTTTGCTTGATTTGCCTGTGTCTTGCTCACGAACATGCTCCAGTGCTTATCAACATGTTTTGAATATGATTGGAACTCAATAAATATGTATAAAGTAAATTAATGAGTAGAGGTATGGATGTTGCCAGTGAGTACCTTGGCAGATACCTGCTTTCTATGATAGTAGAAGCCTACCCAGGGCCATCACTACTTATGAATAACCCAAATTCTAACACTAGTTGTGGTTGGTATGTGGAATAAAATTTAGACTTGAACTCTTAAAAAAAACAAGGTCTACTAATATTACCATTAGCAAAAATATAGGACTCTTCATGATATTAAAATAGTCAGCTTATAAATTTCTGTTTATATCTTAAAGCTGTAGGTGTGCTAGCTAAGTCTCCTATAACATAAATGCTCTCCCTCCTCTATATATTTCCACAATTTGAAGAAACAGCATAACTTATCTACTAGTCCAGATGCTTACCAGGACCACAGATTTTTATGATCTGTGCTAGGTACTAAGTACACTCCATATGCTACTTTGTTAAATTTCAGTTATTAAAAGGAAACCCAAATCTATAATTGTAACATAACCATTATCATTCATCAAAAAATCTAACTTAATATAGCGAAGTAAAATATATTCTTTGGAGAAAATTTCAATGATAATGTGAAAAATACCAATCTCCCAATATATCATACATAAACTCTGTCACATTGACGCATACACACCACCACCACCACCACCACCACCACCACCACCTTCGATAATCATTGTAAACATGAGTTTTCCCTCTCCAGTTTTTTTTTTTTTTTTTTTTTTTTGGTATTTAACCTGACTATGCAACCTTCGTTCTTTTGGCTACGGTAGTGAAAGCTGTATACCAAAGAGGGTAAGAGTATTTTTTTTCATAGGATTTTTATGATAATTAAATTAGCAAACTCACATAATACATTTAGCAGAGAGCACCAAAAAAATCAGATGTTGAATACATTTTAAATATGATCATGATCATTTATTATTATATAGACTTTTTATACAGAGACTGGATATTTTTTATTCATCAAATTTTTTACCAAAAATACACTGTGAAGATTTTTTTCTATCTCTTTAAATATCTCTTTAAACCTATCTCTTTAAATATCCAAAATATCATTTCAATGTTTGCTTAGTATTATGTTATATGAACAGATAATTTTAATCAAATCTTTCTTGATGGGTATTTATATTGTTTCCAAACTTTATCTGTCACAATTATTGCTGTGATTAATAATCTTAGAAATGTATGTTCATAATTTTTTAGAACATTTTGGAACTGATACATAGAGCCAATTGCAAAGAAAAATGTTGCTATTTACTACTCACCAAAAGTATAGAAACATTCTCTTCCCACCATGTACTATAATATGACACCATTTTGTTTTAAGGTGTTCAATAATTGAGTATAGTATCTTGTTTACAGAATTCATCTTTCAAAAATTTTCAGGGAGTCTTTAACGTAATCTGGGAACTTTTGTGCCTAGATGCATACAAGACAAGAGACAATGAGAGGGAGTAAGGTAATGAGGTTTACTCAGCTTCACCCTTTTGTGTGATTACAGTCTTTGTAGAAATTATGACATTAATGGCAGTAGTAGAACAGTGGTGATGCCTGATGCTGATGGTACAAGTAATAGTAGTAGGTCATATGAGCTACTATTAACTCCATTCTCAGCGTGTGTTAAGATCTTAACATCTATTACCTTATTTAATGCCCATGTAATACTTTGTGCTGGGCACTATTTTTATACCAATTAAAAGAATCTAAATTGATTCCAAAAGAAACTTATTTATCTAATTTAGGCAGTTTGACCAAGCTTTTCATATAATAAAGAGTTCTATAGATTGAGAAGCTATCTGCAGTGGAGCCGCCACCAAAATGCAGATTTTCGTGAAAACCCTTACGGGGAAGACCATCACCCTCGAGGTTGAACCCTCGGATACGATAGAAAATGTAAAGGCCAAGATCCAGGGTAAGGAAGGAATTCCTCCTGATCAGCAGAGACTGATCTTTGCTGGCAAGCAGCTGGAAGATGGACGTACTTTGTCTGACTACAATATTCAAAAGGAGTCTACTCTTCATCTTGTGTTGAGACTTCTGGTGGTGCTAAGAAAAGGAAGAAGAAGTCTTACACCACTCCCAAGAAGAATAAGCACAAGAGAAAGAAGGTTAAGCTGGCTGTCCTGAAATACTATAAGGTGGATGAGAATGGCAAAATTAGTCGCCTTCGTCGAGAGTGCCCTTCTGATGAATGTGGTGCTGGGGTGTTTATGGCAAGCCACTTTGACAGACATTATTGTGGCAAATGTTGTCTGACTTACTGCTTCAACAAACCAGAAGACAAGTAACTGTATGAGTTAATAAAAGACATGAACTAAAAAAAAAAAAAAAAAAGAAGAAGAAGCTATCAACCTCATAATTTATATGAAAATCATAGGTTTCCTAATTGTTTTTAATTAATATTTTTGTTATTTTGATATATAGAAGTGTTTTTTTATTTTATTTTTCTTATATATTTATTTATTTATTTTTTGAGATGGAGTTTCAATCTTGTTGCCTAGGCTGGAATGCAATGGCGTGGTCTCAGCTCATTGCAACCTCCACCTCCCAGGTTCAGGTGATTCTTCTGCCTCAGCCTCCCGAGCAGCTGGGATTACAAGTGTCCACCACCATGCCCGGCTAATTGTTTGTATTTTCAGTAGAGACAAGTTTTCACCATGTTGGCCAGGCTGTTCTTGAACTCCTGACCTCAGGTAATCCACCTGCCTCGGCCTCCCAAAGTACTGGGATTACAGGTTTTCTTTTTTCAAATACAAAGTGTCAGTGTCATTCTGTATTAAACAGAATGTGTTCCCTCTCTAGTAAATCCTTTCAGGAACTTTTTTTGTCTGTTACTTTACCTTTAGATTTTTTAACACTCCTGATTTTTTTCAGGGTGTAGGACAGGGAGTGGTTACTTTCTGTAGGCAATAAAGACCTTTACATTTTTGTCTTTATTTCTCAGTGGTCTACCTTATTCTATGCTTTCCTCTGCAATCCATTGAAACTGTCTTTAGATTAATCTTTACAAGATACTTCTCAAGAACTTACAGCACTCCCTTTTTACTTCTGCTTGATTAGGGGAATTGATCACAATTCAATTTTCATTTTCTGATTCTTGCTTATATTTCTCTTTGGAGTATATGCTGCTGGTGTTCACCACATGTCCTCAGAGACCATCACTCAATGCTCACTCAATGGCTTCCAGATGCAAGCACTGCTGATGGCTTTTCTTTTTCTTTCTTGTGTTTTTTTTTTTTTTTTCTTAGTCTTGCTCTGTTGCCCAGGCTGGAGTGCAATGGCACAATCTTGACTCACTGCAACCTCCACCTCGTGGGTTCAAGTGATTCTCCTGCCTCAGCCTCCTGAGTAGCTGGGATTACAGACGCCCACTACCATGCCTGGCTATTTCTTGTATTTTTCCTCTCCAGTTTTGTATTTTTAGGGGAAATGGGGTTTCACCATGTTAGCCAGGCTGGTCTCGAACTCCTGACCTCAGGTGATCCACCCGCCTTAGCCAGGAGTGAGCCACTGAACCCGGCCACTGGTAGCTTTGTCAAAACAGACTTCTGACTGTCAGTAGTTGATCAGCCCATGTTCTTGGCAAGTGGGAAGTGCAAAGGAGAAGCCCTTAGCCAAGGACAGATGAGAGCTGGTGAATAAATAACCCAGGCCCCATCTTCTGAATGAGATAATAGTTTATCTAGGGAGCCCTACGGTACAAAAGCAATAACCTGTAAACTATGCCACCCTTTATGGATTTTACTACCTTGTCTCATTTCTCCAGTCTCCCATAGTTGCCTCCTGGAACCCATCTTAACAAATTGTTTGCACCCAAATCTTTGTTTGAAAGCCTGTTTCTAGGATAACCTAACCCCGGAGAACCCCTCTTCTGGGCATGGTCTTTATCTTCTCTACTGCATTGGACATAACATATAATCCTCCTGAGAGTCTCCTGGTTCCATTTCACCAGGAGCTCGACTGATTGCTCTCCCTGGGAGTGACTCAGGCTATCGAGAAGGGGTCCTCTCCTTTTGCCACTTCTTTGCAGAAAAGCTGACTAGTCACGCATTCCTAAGTGTCTACTTTTCCTGTCACTTCAGTATTTGGGTGAAATATCACGTCGTGAAGCCCGGGATCTGTTATCTCAAGTAGTTACTGGAGCCAGATGATGCACCTTAAATTGCAGGGAGTGAACTTCCTTTGGGATGAATTTAGATAAATAAGAAATAGGAGATGGGGAAGATTCAGACACATAAATGTGTTGGGATCACTTATAATCAAAATAATTTTACAAAGGCTGGTGATGATGTTTCTCAGAGATTGACACCCTTTCCCTTGAGTTACTTATGAATCAAACAAGATAAAATGATTCTTGTACCTATTATATGCCTACCGCAATATGAAGCATTGAATGGATTACAAAAGTACTCCGAGTCAGGGGGCTGGATATTTGTTGTAGCTGACATTGACCTAACCTAGGAAACACATTATCAAAGTGAATAAGCTCTCCAAAGAGTACTTCTTACTGTTATTATTTTAACAGGGATTAAAATTCTTAAAGAAAACTAAATAAGTAAATAAATAAAGGGAAGTTGTTAAATTGTCCACAGACTGCTTGTATTACTTCTGTTAATACTTTGGTTGTTATGTTACATAGTTCCAGGAATTTTTCAATGTATATGCATATAATGATGTCTTATATAATTTCACATCTGCTTTTTTCTCACTTGACATTCTTTTCTAACATAATTAAATAATCTTTGACAATGTAACACTTACAGCCTACATATTATTCCTTCTATTGTATATGTATTAATTTTTTAAGCTAATCATGTATTGTTAAACATTTAAGATGTTCCTGATTTTTTATTAATAGAAAAAACAACACTGTGATAAATACCCTTGTGAAACACATAGATTTACACAGCTATAATTAGTTTTTCAGAGGAGTTGATCATTTTTTTTGAGAGTTAACTGTGACAGTCATTTTTAATCTTGAATTATAAAAGCAATATACCATGATAATGATGTTAAGAACATAGCAATCATTCTAACAGAGATGTTACTAATTTTGGACCTTATCAATCTTATCTTCTTAGACCCTGTAACTGCTTTTTCACATGGTTATGATTTTAAGGTAAACTATTTATAAACTCATTTAAAAAAATTCTTTAAACATATGGTTCTGGTGTTGCAGAACCGTATGTTTAAATATAGTTTAATATAAACTATATGCTTAAATACAGTTTAATATAAACTATATGCTTAAATACAGTTTAATATAAACTATGTTTAAATACTGTTTAATATAAACTATATGTTTATATACAGTTTAATATAAACTATGTTTAAATACAGTTCAATATAAACTATATGTTTAAATACAGTTTAATATAAACTATATGTTTAAATACAGTTTAATATAAACTATATGTTTAAATATAGTTTAATATAATCAAGATATACTTGATTGCCACTATTTTTAATGTATACATCACCTTCAGTCAAGTGTTTGGGCCATGATTGATAACTATTCCTCTGTTGTAAGATATTTATTTAGATGTATTCTAACATTTCATTATTATAAATAACCACAAAATGTGTATAAAACTTCCTCGAATGCTTGTTGTTCGGTGTTAATCATTGTTTGCATTTTTGTTAAAAGTCAGTCATCATGAAAAATCCAAGCTGTTCAAGGAGTAAGAGAGAATAGCCTTATAAGTGCCTATTCTTTAGATGTAGAATCAGTTTTTGTTGGCATGCTACTCAAATTCCCTCTAAAGACAGGTGACAGTGGCACTGTATTCCATCAACATGACCTGATCAGGTTGATTTCACTTTATATTGGATATTGAACTAACATTGTTTAGGAAAATCATTTGTCCTTCTCAGTAGGGCAAGACATAGACCAGTGGATGCCTTTATTTTTTATCCTGTACCATACAATAGCATATCTCTGCTCAGTTGTGGGCTCAGAACTATTTGCTATGTGCACAAGGATAGCCAATAAAGCAACCACAGTCTGTTATCATTTATCTTGATTTGAAAGAGAGATGCTATTTCTAGGATGGACCTGAAATGTCACATTTGCTGTACTCTTTGTACCATAAAGTCAAACCTTTGCCAAACTGCTTATTATGTAACAGAAAAGTTAACTAAAGGTTATTGACCACTTGCTTTCCTTCATGTTGTTAGACAAGTCATGTAAAATAAGCATAACACCAACCCTGTGAGAAATGTGAAATAAACCTCTTTTTACTGAAGATGAAGTTCTGTCTCTGAAATTTAAACTGCCAGCTACAAAGCTAGTAAGTGCAGAATTAGAATTCAAATTCATCTTAATTCACTTGATAAATATTTAGTCCAAATGTTCTGAAAAAAAGTTCTGAATACTCTAAATTACAAGCAATGAATCTAAAATTTTCTGAACACTGCAAACATCATTGGGGATACAATCAACACTTTTGTATCTTTCTTTATGATTTTATGCCGTACATATCTCCACTCCATTGTTGTTTACTTCAAAGTGCTCGATAAAAATTTCTCTGTAATTTTTTTCCAAGTCAAATCCAGTATAATGACTGAAGAGAACTGAAACTGCCTCAAATGACACCAGGTAGTGTTTACTGAGTGTGGATATGAAACACGCACTGTGTAGCTGCTGTACAAAGAACAGCACACATAATCGATTGATTACTTAATTGACAAAGGCAATTTGGTCCCCGTCTCTGCCAGTACCCAGCCCCTGAACCAACACTGCCCACTGGAGCGACACTAGACACAGATAACGGCAGACCCTCCCTGCTCCTTACACTGAGCAGTCACATCTGTCTGTGTGAACACGCACAGAAAGCAAATATAGTCCTCTGTCCACCAGCGACCTACTCTGAAGCTGACACTACCACCAGCACAGCCATGCCCACAGTAACCAGTAGAGACCCACTGCCCCCCGGAGCTGTGCTGCCTCTGCTGCTGCAAACACCTGCACCGAGGCCAGTACCCTGCCACCCACTGGCACTGTGCCGTAGCTGATGAGTGTGCACCCTGCTGTACTGCCGCCGGTGCTGCTGCTGGCATGTATGAACAAGGATGGATTCCACTAACACCGCCCTATGAAATGCTTCGGCTGGCAAAATCCACTGGAGTGCCGGGACCAGAGGTCTGGGAGCCCCTCGGCCCTTCTAGTGCAGCAGGTTCCTAATTTCAAGGAGCCAGAGAACAAAGTCCACTGATATCAGTTCCCCAGAGATAGAGCATGCAGTCCAGGAGTCCTGAGCTGAGCCTGGACCCCCTTTAATCCTCCAGAAATGAAGCCAGTTGACTGAACCCACCTATACCACAATCAAACCCTCAAGGTTAGCAAATAGGGTGAACAACAACACCAAAAAAAAAAAAAAAATCCAAATGACAGCAACATGAAAGACTGAAGGAACACCAGCCCCAAAATTTGAGAAAGAACCAGGACAAGAACTCTGACAACCCAAAAAAGCGAGAGTGCCTTCTTTCCTCCGAACAACTACACCAGTTCTCCAGCAAGGGTTCTGAACCCAGCTGAGAAGGCTGAAATGACAGAAATAGAATTCAGAATATGGATAGGAATGAAGATCATTGACATGCAGGAATATGTTAAAACCCTATCCAAGGAAGCTAAGACTCACAATAAAATGATACAGGAGCTGACAGACAAAATAGTCAGTATAGGAAAGAATGTAACCAACCTGAAAGACCTGAAAAACACACTATAAGAATTTGTTAGTGCAATCGCCAGTATCAATAGCAAATAGTCAAATAGACCAACCTGGGAAAATAACCTTAGAGCTTGAAGACTGGCTTTCTGAAATAAGACAGTCAGACAATAATAGATTAAAAAGAATGAAAAGGAATGAACAAACCCTTCAAGAAATATGGGATTATGCAGAGACCAAGGGTGTGACTCACTGATGTTCCTGAAAGAGACTGGGAGAATGAAAGCAACTTGGAAAACATATTTCAGGGTATCATTCATGAACACTTATCCAACCTAGCTAAAGAGGCCAACATTCAAATTTAGGAAATGTGGAGAACCCCAATAAGATACTTCACAAGAAGATCATCAGATTCTCCAAGGTCAAAATGAAAAAAATATGTTAAGGGAAGCTAGAGAGAAAAGTCAGGTCATCTACAAATGAAAGCCCGTCAGACTACCAGCAGACCTCTCAACAGAAACCGTACAAGCCAGAAGAGACTGGGGACCAACATTTGACATTCTTGAAGAAATTTCAGCCAAAAATTTCCTATCTTAAAGACTACATATTGAGTACAGTGTACACTGCTTGGGTGATGGGTACACCAAATTCTCAGAAATCACCACTAAAGAACTTATCCATGCAACCAAGCACCACCTTTTCCTCCAAAAACCTATTGAAATTAAAAAAAAAAAACAGGAAAAAAGTTATATCTGGCTAAACTAAGCTTCATAAACAAAGGAGAAATAAAATCCTTTTCAGATAAACAAATGCCAAGGGAATTTGTTACCACCAGACCTACCTTACAAAACCTCATGAAGAAATTGCTAAATGTGGAAAGGAAAGACTATCATCAGCCACTACAAAAACACACTTAAGTACGCAAACCAGTTACACTATAAAGCAACCACACAAATAAGTCTCCATAATAACGAGCTAACATCATGATGATGGGATCAAATCCACACCTATCCATACTAACCTTGAGTGTAAATGGGCTAAATGCCCCAATTAAAAGGCACAGAGTGGCAAGATGGATAAAGAAGCAAGACCCAATGATACACTGTCTTCAAGAGACCAATCTTGCATGCAGTGGCACACATAGGCTCAAAGTCAAGGGATGGATAAAAATCTATCAGGCAAATGGAAAACAAAAATGCAGAAGCTGCAATTATAATTTCAGACAAAATAGACTTTAAACCAACAAAGATAAATTAAGACAAAGAATATAATTACACAATGGTAAAGAGATTAATTAAACAAGAAGACCTAACTATTCTAAATATATATGCACCCAACACAGAAGCATCCAGATTCATAAAGCATATTCACAGAGAGCTTCAAGAGACTTAGTCTCTGACACAATAATAGTTGGAAGCTTCAAAATCCCACTGACAGTATGAGACAGATCATTGAGGCAGAAACTTAACAAAGATATTTAGTACCTGAACTCAGCACTGGATCAAATGAACTGAATGGACATCTACAGAACTCTCCACCCCCCCAAAATAGAAGGAACATTCTTCTCATTGCCACATGGCACATATTCTAAAATCTACCGCATGATCAGACATAAAACAATGCTCAGTAAATGCAAAAGAACTGAAATTATAACAACCACTCTTTTGGACCACAGTGCAATAAAATTAGAAATTAAGTCAAAGAAAATCGCTCAAAACTATACAATTAAATGGAAATTGAATAACCTGCTCCTGAATGACTTTTTGGTAAATAATGAAATTAATGAAGAAATCAAGAAGTTCTTTGAAACTAATGAGAAAAAAGACAAAACATGCCAGAATCTCTGGAACACAGCTAAGATAGTGTTAAGAGGCAAATTTATAGAATTAAATGCCCACATCCAAAAGTTAGAATGAGCTCAACTTAAAACCTAAGATCACAACTGAAATAACTAGAGAACCAAGAGCAAACCAATCCCAAGTTAGAAAAGAAAACAAATAAACAAAAAAAAAAAACCCAAAAACAAAAACAACAACAACAACAACAACAAAAAACAAGGAATAACCAAAATCAGTTCAGGCCCAGTGGCTCATGCCTGCAGTCCCAGCACTTTGGCCAACATGGTGAAACCACATCTCCACCAGAAAATACAAAAATTAGCTGTATGTTGTGGTCCACACCTGTAGTCCCAGCTACTTGGGAGGCTGAGGCATGAGAATTGCTTGAACCTGGGAGGTGGAGGTTGGATTAGCTGAAATCTTGCCACTGCACTCCAGCCTAGGCAACAGATTCTGTATCACAAAAAAAAAAAAAAAAGAAAGAAAAGAAAGAAAGAACCAAAATTAGAGTTGAACTAAAGGAGATTGAGACACAAAAAACCCATTCAAATGATCAACAAATCCAGGAGTTAGTTTTCTGAAAAAAATATTGAAATAGGTAGACCACTAGCTAGATTAATAAGAAGAAAAGAGAAAAGATCCAAATAAACACAATTAGAAATGACAGAGAGGTTTGTTTTTAAAGATCTAAGATTTGAAAATCTTATTGTAATTAATAAAAGATAACATTTACTTTCTATGCTAAATTGCATTTTAGCATCTATTGCTTTATATATAAAGGACAAAATGAAGGTCAGTTCACTTCAAAGACTGCAGTATATTATTTTGAGTGACCCACAGAAATACAAACAACCATTAGGGAATATTATGAACAACCTTATGTACAAAAACAAGAAAATCTAGAAGAAATGGATAAATTCCTGGACACATACACACTCCCAAGACTGAATCAGGAATACATTGAATTCCTGAATAGACCAATAATGAGCTCCGAAATTGAAACAGTAATAAATACCCTATCAATCATAAAAAAGCGCAGGACCAGACGGATTCACAGCCAAATTCTACCAGACATACAACAAAGAGCTGACAGCATTCCTGCTAAAATCATTCCAAAAAAATTGAGGAGGAGGGACTCCTTCCTAATTCATTCTATGATGCCAGCATCATCCTGATACCCAAACCTGGTGGAGACACAAAAACAATAAAACTTCAGGCCAATATTCTTGATGAACATCAATGCAATAATCCTCAACAAAATACTGGCAAACTAAATCCAGCAGCGCATAGAAAAGCTTATTCACCATAATCAAGAAGGCTTTATTTCTGGGATACAAGGTTGGTTCAACATATGCAAATTAATAAATGTGATTAATTACATAAACATAACTAAAGGAAAAAAACCCACATGATTATCTCAATAGATGCAAAAATGGCTTCCTGTAAAATCAATACTCCTTCATGTTAAAAACTCCAATAGGTGGAGGTTGCAGAGAGCCGAGATCACACCATTGCACTCCACCTTGGGCGACAGAACAAGACTCTCTCAAAAACAAAAAATAGCTCCCAATAAAATGGTATTGAATTAAAATACTTCAAAATAATTTTCCGGTTTCTGCAAGTCCTTCTCTGAATATTAACAAAGATAAATATCTTTTAAATTTTGATATGGCATAAAAAAGAGTGTACAACCTATTGGGAGAGGAAGTGACAGTGGTTCTGAATTTGAGGGATGAAGAAGTTTGAACTGGACCTGAACAAACCCTCTTAGTGTCACTGGACCCTGGGGAGCAAATTCTGCTTTGTAACTTACATAATTGAACTCAGACGTTTGTTGAAAGCCAGAATGTGAGAGATGAATTTAAAAATGAGAGTATGTGATTTCTTTCATAGAAAGTCAGAGCAAATTGGTCAAAGCTGCAGGCCAGCAAAGAAACATGATCAAAATGGATCGGATTATCTTAAATCATAGAATCCCAGGAAACATTAGGGAAAGGGCAGTGTTCCTGGAATTAATAGAAAATACCTGAGGTGCAGCATATGTAATCTGTCAATTATTTTTAAAGTGGTTTGAGGAAAGATCACGTGATAATAGTTGCTATCATTAGCTTCAGAGGCTACACGTTTTCAAATGACTCTTAATTTGTTCCAAATATTTCTAGAACTTCTCTCTGAGATGGTTTTCATTACTTTTTACTTCAAATTTGTAGGTCCCAGCTCGATCATTCATCAGTTCTACAGACACATCACAGCATGGATAGTCTTTGTTTCCAAAAGTCATGTCTTCCTCAGGGAACTAAAACTGTTTCTCCCAAAACACTCAAAGTAGTATACTGCTGTCTCTAGAGTTGGCCTACATTTTGTCCTTTACACATAAAGCAATAGATGTTAAAATACAATCTAGCATAGAAAATAAAAGTTATCTTTTATTAATCAGAATAAAATTTTCAAATATTGGATGTTTAAAAATAAGCCTCTTGAAAATAGGGATGAATAATACAATTTGAATGTGTATTATGTGTCACTCACACACTGTGCCACAACATTCACATAGATCATCATTTTTTCTTCTTAATTTTCCTATCCTTATCTAGCAAAATTATGTTATTTCACATAACATAATTACCTCCAGGTTAAATAGGTAAAACAAGTTAAATAAAGTCACATAACAATGGGTAACACATGATTAAGTCCTTCTGTTCTGCTGTAAATACTATTTTCCCTTCAATGTAGTACTTTGCCCTACAGACAATTATCATGTATATCTGATGAATATTTAATATTTGTTCAGGACTTCATTTTTCCTTAACACTATGGTAATAGTATGAGACAGAGATGTTAAAATCTCTACATTTAGTCTTAACTTTATTGAAATAGCCTTTTAGTCTATAGCTATGTTAAATTTATTTCAAAAACTACCAAAAAGAAAGATGTATAAGTTCTTAAAAAGAATATTGTGCCTGCTAGTTCTCTCATGATATTTCAAAATATGAAAAATCTAGTGTAGAAGATAAATAGCAACCTAGAAAATATCTCTTAATTCCAAACATTAAAAATATTCGAATTAGTATTTATCCAGTAGAAGCTATTTTTCTGGAACTATTTCATGGTTTATCAGTAAGGAGGCAAACCATGTGTGAATTTCACAGTATATATGAATCCCCTGAGATTGATCCCTATGCTTTGTGCATGTGTGCACATGTGCACTCATGCATTTGTGCACCTGCATTCATGCACCTGAAATGAAATGAGACAAATGCTAAAGAAAGCTGTCTTTCATCTTCACAAAATGCCCAAGAGATAGAATTTTAAATTTATCTGACAGTTTTCAGACCTTAGTTGTGCTGAGGTATACAGAGAATGGCAAAATTTGCGAACCAAATTTCTCTTTTTGAGCATAGAATGAGAAAGAATGAAGAGAATACTAAGAAAATAAATGAAGGGAGGTCAGAGAGAGAGAGAGAGAGAGAGAGAGAGATTAGAACCTGGAGGATTATGGTATTCTTTCGGTGTTCAGTGCATTTTAATATGCTATCATTTCAAGAGAATTTACCACACATATCTACATTGACCTTCAAATGTAGTCAAATTCACATTTTGTTGTTGTTGTTACCATGAGCTATTAGATTTCAGCAACTGGTAAAAGATGCATTATAATTCAGATTATAGGTTATCTCTGGGGACGTTCTCATAAGAGCCTGTGGAACACCTCATAGAAGGTACAATTAATTTAGTCCATCCTTCATATTTATCAAACAAGTATGCTGAAAGCCAGTGATTTGTCTATGGGCACATAATGTTTGCATGTTCTGTGACCCAGATTCACATTTGGCACTAACTCCTGGTTCAGTTCCGCTAATATCACAGTTCCTTTTCAATGCTCCATTGCAGATAATCAATATAAAAGCCTTGCTTTGCCAATGACACAGATGTAATTCAGTAGAGTCATAAAAGCATAATAGAGTGTTTTAGTCAGATTGGTGATGAGGCTTTTTCTTAAATTGAGGCTAGTCAATTGTCGCTCTTACACTGATTAAACTAGTCCTTTATTCTAATCATGCCCAGGATGAACCAAACAAGATTACCCTCTATATAAATGTATCAATGCTCTGTATTAACGTATCCTTGAGATGTCAAAAAGTAAATAGATAGATATATATAAAAAGTATTCAAATATGAATGTCAGATCTATGAATTGTAAGTCAGTCTCTGTTTCTATGTTTGGTCTTTATCCTTGTTCATATTCAGAGAAAGACTTACAGAGACCAGAAAATTTCAAAGATGTGGAACAATGCTTATGGAGCATTCTTAAAACTCAACACAACTCTTTGAAGAAAAATATTATATAAAAGCAATCTGCAGAAGTGTGTGTTATCAGGTCAAACTTATAGGAATGACTCTGCATTCTTATTGATATGCTTAAGTTTCATTAAATATGTTAAATAAATTTTGAAGAATTCAAACTGGAGTGAAAAACACATCTGTCTCATATGTTCTGTAATAAAAAATAAAGCCTGACAGAATACAGGAGAAGTTACATCACCTTAATTGACTGCATTTGTCAAGCATACATTTTGCTTACTATTTACAGGGTATTATAAATACAAGACACTTTTGGAGTCCCTAGAATTTCAAGAGACCAGCAGATTAATAAATATTGCAATAACTTGCAACTGCTGCAAAGGCATGTGTGCCTGTTACCATATACTTTTGTCAATCTGTGGTAGGGGGTCGTGTACAGGGGAAATGCACTCACTTTGGGTGGGTCACAGGAGGCTTAATGTTACCTCTATTAATCTAAGTCTTCAAACATATGTAATATTATTCCATTAGACACTTCAAGAAAGGTCCCTCTGGTAAAAGAGAACAACCTTTGCAAATATGTTCAGGGTTTACATGTTCAGGGAATTGTTAATAGTTTGATATTCCTAGAGGAGGATAAATGTCTATGAGAAGGCAAAAGAGATTAAACCGTTAAAGTAGACAAGTTGGAGGCAGTTGACAACCTATTATGCTATTTTGGGAGCTTTGCTATTTTTCTGCTGTAGAGTTTTAAGTTGAGGAATTCAGGCTCAGATTGTCTTGCATACATTCCTAGGAACTTTCACCATATCCCAGCTGCATCTAATCTCTTCATCTTATATTTTTAAAGTCACTCTATGAGCAAATAAGTTGGGCACAAATTGTGCTCATTTGTCTTGAAAGAGCATGTAACATTCATGCCAAAAGCCATGTAGCATCCCCTTCTCTGCCCACTTCAGCACTCTTACAGTGGACAGCTCTATACTCTCAGCCCAGGTTCCCGCTTGATAGAGGCTTTTCTGCTTTTGTTTTCTCAGAAGCTGTGAAAGCCAGCTGCTGGAGGTAGTTCGCACATAATGGGAATAGGAGCCCAAGGATATGTACTGTCATCTTCCTATCCCTTGGAAGGATTTCAACATGCATTCTATACACCTACTTTGGAAAGACTCTGATTGGATTGAGATCCGAAAGACTAGTGTAGTAACCAACAGTAATCAGTTCAATAACTCACTCTTTATTAAGTTTCTTTCTGACCCTGTCTCACTATCCCATTTCCCTTACCTGGCATTCTCAGAATTATCTCAAAATAAACTATCTACATTCCAAGTACGTGTCTCAGGTTCTGCTTTCAGGGAAACCAAAACAGAGAAAAACAGAAGCCCTCTGAGGATAGGAGCCATATTTCATGGCCAAGTATGATGAGTAATAGCTTTGTAGTGAAATACAGCAGGGATTAAATGCATGTTTGCTTATTAAGTAGGCTGCAGGGTCAGAATTAGGAACAAATAATATTATTTTCAAATCATAAAGAAAATGTTTTTACACCCCAAAAGGTATTTGTACATAAGTTAACAGTCTCTTCCTGCTATTGAGGAGTTAGTTTGTACTTCTGCCTTTAATTTAACATGCTAGGCACAGAAAATTATTAGGTATCTAAAGCATGTTCAAATCCAAATCCTTCGCTGGGTAAAATATTGTTTTTGTTTTAAAATGTTTTTTGAAGGTACTAATGATGAGGCCTCTATTAGTGATGAAATTATCCTATTTCAATTGGCTAAACAAGTAGATATTCTCCAAATTTGATTAAGCTTTTTTTTTTCAAAAATGAAGAGCCTAAGACGTGGTAGACTGGTAGGCGTTGTGAATGACACTATAGACGAAAATATACCTTATAATAGTATCAAAATTCAATGTAATCTTTATAGATTTTGAATTCATTGAGAAATCTATTAGGCTTCTCTAGAGGGACAGAGTGAATGAAATATATATACATATATTCTGAAAAAGATGTGTTTTTATAAGTATATATATAGAGGGGAGTTTATTAAGTATTAACGTGCATGATCACAAGGTCCCACAATAGTCCCTCAGCAGGCTGAGGAGCAAGGAGAGCCAGTCTGAGTTCCAAAACTGAAGAACTTGGAGTCTGATGTTCAAGGGCAGGAAGCATCCGGTGGGGAGAAAGATGTAGGCTGGGAGGCTAGACCAATCTCTCTTTTCACATTTTTCTGCCTGCTTATATTCTAGCTACGAGGGCAGCTGACTAGATTGTACCCACCCAGATTAAGGGTGGGTCTGACTTTCCCAGCCCACTGACTCAAATGTTAATCTCTTTCGGCAACACCACCACAGATACACCCAGGATCAATACTTTGTATCCTTCAATCCAATCAAGTTGACACTCAGCATTAACAATCACAAGAATAATGACAGCAATATTGACATTGGAAACATTGTTTTTCTGACAAGAAATCTTTCATCTCTATCTTCAGTCAAAACTAACATGATAATAGCTACAAAAAAGAAAAAATAAGTTTTTCTATTTCCTTCTAATGATACAGTAATAACGATGGGATTTGCATTAACAAATAAGGAATAAAGCACCATTATTTCCTTTCACCTAATTAATAGGGTATTTTGTTAGTTTATTTTGAAAAAAAATAATATGCAAGTGGATTATTTATATTTACATACTGAGAAGGAAGTTGAAACTAAGAAAAAAGAGTTTCTTAAAATCAAAGTATATCTTAGTTGGAAATGCAGATAAAGCGGGCTGTACAAATAGTTCAGCACATGATAGGAATATATATATATATATATATATGTATATATATATATATATATAGAGAGAGAGAGAGAGAGACAGACAGACAGAGAGAGAGACAGAGACAGAGACAGAGAGAGACAGAGTCTTGCTCTGTCGCCCAGGCTGGAGTGCAGTGGCATGATTTGGCTCACTGCAAACTCCATCTCCCAGGTTCAAGAGATTCTCCTCCCTCAGTCTCCCGAATAGCTGGGATTACAAACATGCACCACTATGCCTAGCTAATTTTGTATTTTTAGTAGAGATGGGTTTTGGCCATGTTGGTGAGGCTGGTCTTGAACTCCTGACCTCAGGTGATCCACCTGCCTCGGCCTCCCAAAGTGCTGGGATTACAGGCGTGAGCCACTGCGCCTGGCCAGGATTATATTTTTCAAGATAAAATGTACATGTATAAGACTGCTGAAACCTTCAAGTTCTGAAAAGTTAAGATTTGTAATAGAAAGGCCTGTAATTAATCTCTGTTGTCATAGCAACCCATTGTGCAACCATAGGTAGTGAAAATAAATGTAGCATTTGCATGTATTCCTAATGGCATGTGATAATTCTAAATATTCACATACATATATGCATGTAAATATACATATGCATTTGTATATATCCATATAAGTGTACTTATGCAAATACTTAATACCTCTCTGTGTGTATAAGTGTAATGTTTATTTTCTCTGAAAATTTTCCCGACCTCCAGGTAGACCTGATCAGGATTGCTCTGCTGCTTCCAATCATCCTTTGTTTTCAGCAGTAGAACACCAGGCATCATATTGTGTTAAGGTAGGTTGTTTACATATTTGTCTTTCATTTCTATATCATAAGCTCTTTAAGAACAGACACTGTGCCTTAATATTTTGGTGCAGTGACAAAATTTAATTAGGCTATACAATTGGAAAAAACACAGATATTGCATGATACTGAAAGCTTAGAACCATTTTTCATTAGTCCAAATCATCTGTTTTTCTTGCAGCACTGGATTATTATTATTATTTTGATTGTTATTCTTATTATTAACACCATAATATTTCAACTAGTACTATTGCTATTGCTGCTGCCACCAAGACCTACTACTAGATTTGGGGCTGGATTATAAAATGTATATATTTTGAAACAATTTAGTATTTTTAAAATTTTGATTTGAACATATAACAGGAACTCTTAACAATGTTGTACAGCAGATCTCTCAAACCTAATCATCTTGTGTAAAGGAAATTTTATACCCATTAAACAACAACTCCCTGTTAGATTCTCATAAGCAAAGTGAGGGGCTCATACTGTGAGAGGCACTTGGGGATTAGATCTGACTACAGAAACTATGGATTGAAATATTTCGTTCATTCCTTACTCTAGGATCCATGTTCTCTGAAAGCAAACAATAAGTTATACTGCATTATTAACTTTATTTTGTTGTCTTTATATACAGGGAGGTTTAATGTTGTTGTTTTAACACATGTACTATATATATATATATACACACACACACACATACATATATATTACAAATAGAAAATTCTATCAAATTCTATCATGTTACTAATAACAAAATTAATAAACATGATCAATGTAGCATGTGAAGATGTGAAGCTTGGTTACTTATTAACATTTGTTCTGATGTAAGATGGTCTGATTTTAAATTTTATGATACGTTGTTTATTGATAAAGAACCAGAGTGATGTCAACAATTTGTGTTCTTAATTCCAAGAAACAGTTATAGGATTATATTTTACTCATCCATTCCAATAGTTATTGAGGACCTTCTATGTCCATTCTAGGAGCAAAATAGTGAATAAAATAAGGCTGAGTGCCAGCTTTTGGAAACTATGGTCTGGTGGGTGAGAATGACAACCATAAATGTATGATTATATACTGAGATAAGTTTTATGAAGGAAAAAGAAACAGTGCTATATTACTTTATTTTTATAAATTTCAGCAGTAGCAAACAGATCCCAGGGAGTGGACAGGTAATTTAAAAGAGTGAAAGAGCCAGAAAGAATGTTCAGAGATACAATGGGGAAAGTAGGATGACAAATAGTCACTGAGCTATAGCCTCAGTGTCAAGAGGACAATGGTAGAACTTTGGCAAATAGAAGGTGAAAGCCATTCCTCTCAGCTCCAGTCTACTTTCACCTTACAAGAATACCAGCCTAGTGATGCTGAATCTCATGATTTCTTGAGAAGAAATTGAAAATTGTGACATTTTCTGCCTTTTAATGAATGAGAATCCTTTATTATTTTTAATCACAGTGTGACCTGAATTTTGTGACCCTAAGAACGAAAGTCTTCGCTGGCCTGCAGATCTTTCACTCTGTGGCCTCAACAATAGATCCAAGGAAATATTAAAGTAGAGCAGGGAGAAAGTGGAGTGGCTGTGACTTTTACACATTGAAGAGCTCTTTTCTCTAAGAATTACATCTTACATCTCCATAGTTGTAGAAGCATGGACTTGAGATGGGTGTGGAAGAGCACTGGTACTGCCTAAGTGCCTGAGCAGGTTGGACACTGGACACAATGACTTTAGAGAGCTTTGGTCCTTATGACCAGCCTGGCATAGAAGGATTAGAGTCAACAAGAAGTCTACACATCTTATAGCAGAGAACTTGGGAAAGGATCAAGTGTGGTGACTGACTGGGTTTCCTGATACCATATAAGGTAGGTAGAAAAAGACACAAAGTTGCTACTATTATGTTTCTTGTCAATTTTGGCAAATGGGCACTTATAGTTAAATTTCAATTTATTCCAATGAATAAGGAGATGTTGCATCAAAGGTCCTGAAACAATTACTGCCAATAACACAAATTTGAGATTATTGATACTCACAAAAAGCATATCATAGGGGTCATATATAGTCCCAATTTTATAGATGTGTAAAATTAGCTTAGAGGGTTTAATTACTGTCCAGTGTCACAAGGTCAATAAGTATCAGTTAGACTTAAATTTGAGTCCTAGATCTTATAATAATCAAGGTAGCTGCATAGCTTTGGTCTGAAATACGGGTGTTAGACTGCATAGATAGTTGATCAACATTTACTTTGGATTGAGTAATTGTTAAGACCCATATCCACCATGTAGTAGCTTGTTCATCCTTGGGTAATGCAGTCTATGGTCTCTAGATCTCAATATTGTCAAGTCTAAAACTGGTATAATATCAAAGTTCTTTGAAGAACATTTAAAAACATATTTTATTCTGCAAAGCATTAGAGAAATATTAGCTATTTTTATCATTAGTGATGCTAACAACAGTTACAAAATATAAAGGTTTTAAATGAAAACAGTACATTTGTTGGCAATGAATAAAGTATCAGAAGGCTATTTATATTGTAGATACCTTTCAGTGGCCCTGTTATGGCTAGTAGGGTGCACTCACAACAGTTCAGGAAGCTAAGTACTATTACTATTAGTATTGTATGTGTGAGGAAAAGAAAAGCCTCAGATAGTTTAGTTTCCTACACTGGCTCCATAATGATTTGCATCTAGTGAGTGTATAACCAGAAATTTAAACAGGAGTCTAATTTATTGCAAAGCTCACACTTCCATCCTATGCTAGTGGCCTCTTTTCCTTAACTTTTCCCATGATGGTAGCTCTAAATATATCCTTAGACCCCTGAGCTCTGGTGCAGTGTTTTTATAGTGTAGGGGAAAGCAGTAAATATAACTAAAGGCTCCTAGGTTCCTTTTACACTAACTTCACTCTACACTTCAAGGTGCTAGTTCTACAGCTGCCCTCTATAACAGGTTAAATCCAATACATATAAAGAAGAGTGTAGCCTAAACATTAACAAAACTGAGTATCTTGGAAATGAAATAAAAACTTCCTCTGTTAATTTTCATCCTATGTTCAGCAATGTCAGCATGCTTTATAACACAAATGTTCTCAGAATCAGCATTTTTACTGTAGTCAATATTTGAGACAGTGACATTAATTATTTCAATATCTTTACAATAGAGCAATGATGATAATTATCTAATATCATGGTTTTAAGATATCATTTATATTTTGTTATATTTATTGGAAACAATGGGTATACTTTGATGACAAGAGGGAAAAACTTTTATCTCTACCCTAAACAGGGTGAGGGAGATATATACAAAGTATTTCCTAACCTGGAACAAACTATGTGATTAAACATGAGGTCATACCTATGTAAAGGCAGTTTTTTGTTGCTGTTTTAGTTTAGTTTTGTTTTTGCTAAATTTCTCATCCCACTGTAGCATCTAGGCCTTCATTCCTTGATTTGCATTTGTATGATCGAGATTAAATTCAGCAGATGGTTTTGCTAATACTAAAGCAAAACAAAAAGTCACTTATTTTTTTTGCTCCCAACTTATTTTTCATTTGACTGGAATAATATTATATGACAGAATTTTACATTGTGGCAAACAGGTCATCTTGGGGTGAATCTTTGCTTTGATAGTTAGTACTTCCTTTCAATTTGATCCCATTCACAATTCTCTTTCAGCCACTTTTATCTGCTTTACCAACCTGATGTTATTCGTCTATTCACTGTAACTGAGAATTGCAAGAATATCTTACTAGGAAATTGTCACCCATGCCTTGGTTCATCACATCAGAATAAGCTGATAAATGAACTATCTTGTCTACATAACATATATGCATGCAAATTAGAAAGAAATACTAACAGCATAAAGATTGTCTCAAAAACCTCCCATTTATATGGTGATGATGAGTTATTAAGTTCTTATTGATTAAGGAAACTTCAAAAATATCTTTTCCATATTTATTCATTCATTTGTTCCTTAAACATTATTGAGTGCCTTCTATTTAATATTCTCCCACATGCTGCCAAAAATTGTGTGGTCTGAATTTCTTTAACTGTCCAATAGAGAAAAGCATTAAAAGGATACTTTGAACCTCTATATAGGCACATGTACTGATAATGGAACAAAGAATCTTCAAATTCACCGTTGAGCTAAACATGAAAACCAAATATTTAATTTCCAACCTCCCATTTAAGTGTCCTAAAAAATACATACTGTATTTAATATCATTTTAGCAGCAAAATATGAAATAAAAGACATATTTTATTTATATAATGACCCTCTCCAAATAGCTTCTTCTAAAAATTCACACATTTTCAAGACTTCCTGTCATAGATACATTTTCCAGATAAAAACCTTATTTTTATATCTCATACCTAAAAGTTATAGTACTATAAGTAACTTGGAAGACTTTTGAATATTAAAATTAATAGCATAATGAATGCTAACATGAAATAGTTACAATTCTGAAAGCCTAAAGAAGAAAATGCCTTCAAGAATTATTTTTTCTTACATATGATGCAGTGAAAAGTACTTAAGATTTAGGGCCAGAAAAAGCTAAAAAGTAATCCTGTCCTTGTTCCTGCTACTTAGGAGTGGTACAACTTTGGACAGGTTCCTTAATTTCTCTCAGCTTTGGTTCCCTCATTTCTTTTGTATTTTTCCTTACTTTATCAAGTCTATAATAAATTACCCCCATTTAAAGTGCACTCATTTGATGTAATCCGACAGTTCTACATGGCAATAAGACCTCCACTAAAATCATGCAGAGCATTTTCATCACTAACAAAGGTTACTCATGCCCCCTGGTAATCTATGCCTTTTTATTTCTCTGTAACAGCCATTCATCTACACTTTGTCATCATAGATTGGTTCACATTTCCTATGAATGAGATCTGTTGTGCCTGAGTTCTTTCACTCATATTGAGTGTGTGACAGTAGTTCTGATTTTCTATTTTTTCCTTGTAATGGCTGAGTAGTATTCCATTGTATGGATATACTTTATTTTGTTTATCCATTTACCTGTTGATGGATGATTTTGTTCTCCCCACTCACCCCAGGTTCTGGCTATGATGAATAAAGTTGCCATAGAAATAAATACACATACAAGTTTTCGTTTGAATGTGTTTTTCTTTCACTTGGGTAAATAACTGAGATGGGAAGATCTGGTGGCCTATACTTAATATTTTCAATTATCTTTCAGAGTTTTAAGCATTACTATAAATAATGAATGGAAATGATCTCATATGGTGCCTGACATTCTTTAGAATCTGGTCATATCAGAGGTGTAATTCTCGTAATGAGTGTTCTTTAAAAAAATTCTCAAAAATTTCAGACCAAATATGCTGTCATAGAGCAAGTCACCATATTGAATAGCTTTCAGCAATGAATCAGTTTTTTCCTTCAAAACTTTATGATCTGGGTGACATGTGCTTCGAAGTCTGTGTCTTCTACATTTTCTGGGTAAATGCCTTTATTTTAATTCTGGTTCAAAAGACTTCCTCGTGAATAATCGTGTTCGGATTCTTCTGTAACATTATGTCACTCCCATTATGAGTTAAAATGACTCTCTGGCTGGAGCAGCTGTGATCAGTTCTGGATTATCTATGCTGAACTCGTCTGTTGCTCTTCAAAAATTAGAATTCAGGCTAGTACAATATAGTGTTATTCATACCTATCCAAAAAGGTATTTTATTAGGTAAAGGTGTTGCCTTGCTCCCACAGGCAGTAATGCCAACCTCTGATTTTCTTTTGTAAGAGGATCAGGATAAAATTAATCAGTTTTGTTAAAATCAAAAGAGAAAAAAATCACTTACCTTTCTCTGTTATCTTTGTTCATTTTATTCAAAGAGAATAAAAATGATAATCAGGGAGGATTGCCTATCAAGACAATTGTGACCACCTCTCAGATACACTTTTAGTTTAATGGTTGGTGTCAGCTTTTAATTTTTCTAAGGCAAATAAAGATATTAATACCTTTTATTTCAGCCATACGTGGTCACTTTTAGCTCATAGTTAGTACCAATATATCTAAAGCTGTATTTATTCCCCTATCAATCGTAGGTTTTAGAATCTGATATGTGGCAAAATGGGAGATGGGGCATCCATGTGGGTGAAGATGGAATTATTGCTACCGAGTACCTATCAATTAAATTCAATCTGGGCCGGGTGCAGTGGCTCACACTTGTAATCCTAGCACTTTGGGAGGCTAAGGCGGGTGGATCACCTGAAGTCAGGGGTTTGAGATCAGCCTAGCCAACATGTCAAAACCCTGTCTATACTAAAAATACAAAAATTAGCTGGGCATGGTGGTGCATGCCTGTAGTCCCAGCTACTCGGGAGGCTGAGACAGGAGAATCGCTTGAACCCAGGAGGTGGAGGTTGCAGTGAGCCAAGATTGCACCACTGCACACTCCAGCCTGGGTGACAGAGTGAGACCCTGTCTCAAAAAAAAAAAAAGGAAAAAGAAAAGAAATTCAACCTGATTAGTTGGCACACAGTTTCTAGTAAACAAAAATGTCTAAGTTCACACCCAGAATCCTCGCCATCTACAGCATTCTTAGAGCCAAGCGTCTCCTACATTCTGACGTCCTTTCAAAAGTCACCACCTCCCCACTGAACTCTTCCTTCTCCATTCTAAATTAGCCCTATCACCAGCTGCTCTCACAACACTGTTTTATTTTTTTCAGAGACTTTATAACCTTCTAACATTATTTGTTCATTCATTTAGTGTCTCTATCCTCTAAGAGAACACAGGCCTTGTTTGTAGCTGTTGTTTTAAAATGCATCCAGGATTTCATTTTTATTCAGTATGGTAAGACCAACAGATCAGGAGAGAATAGCCACTGAAAACACAGTTCGTTAGTCAGCGTTCCCAAGAGAAGAAGACCTGCCAAGCTGCACAGGGCTACACAAGGAAGCACCAGGGTCGGGTCAGAAGGTAGAAGGAGCAAGAAGTGTGGGAAAAAGGTTTTACTGTGGTTTTCTTAGGAAGAAATGGGCCAAGCGGGGTAAGCTGCTGAGCAGATTCAGGGTTAGACAGTTTGAATAATTTAGGCAGGCTCTATGCTGTAAGGGTGCTCTCTACCTGTCTATTGTCTAATGCTGGGGTAATCCAGGGCAGGAGGATAGTGTTCTAGACTGCAGGAGCCTGAATAAAGGAAGCAGGCTGGGCTAAGGTCTCAGAATTTTCTGGTTTGCATATCAAAGATGAGTTTACAGGTAAGTTGTTTGTTATCTCTAGAAATTAGCTAATCCCGAAGGGCACCGTCCATTTGTTTCATGAGACCTCTGGATGTCAAAGAATTATAAAATATAGAAAATAAAAATCATGATTAATACAGGCATATTCTTACTGCTTAGAATAGTCCCTGGAAAATATCAATAAATATTTGTTGAATGAATTAATTCACAATATTGTCAAAATCCATATATTTAATATAATCATTTATATTATTTTAGCAATTTATTTTAAATTTCACCAAAAGGGCACCATAAATCTCCATTTTTTTGAAAGATTCCTAAGAAAGGGAAGGTAAGGATTAGTGCCTTTTATAGCTATTTGGGTCTTGTCTAATATACCATTATCTTTTTAACTTTTATTTTAAGTTCAGGGGTACAGGTGCAGGTTTGTTATATAGGTAAGCTTGTGTCATGGGAATTTGTTGTACAGATTATTTCATTATCCAGGTATTAAGCTTAGTACCCATTAGTTATTTCTCCCGATCCTCTTTCTTCTCCCACCCTCCACCCTCCAGTAGGCCCCAGTGTGTGTTGTCCCCTCCATGTGTCCATGTGTTCTCATCATTTAGCTCCCACTTATAAGTGAGTATACCATGTTTTTAAAAAGGCTGCTTTCTCTGCATTGCTTTAGAAACACAAAACAAAATATATTTCTCTACATATGTTAATTTCTAATCATATGGAATAAATTGAAGTCATATGTGGATTCTAGGTAATTGATAAAAGAGGTTCTGTGGGTTTCCCACTTCCTTAGACCTCTCCCAGGCCTCCAAAATGTGTCCCTTTTACAGAAACATATTAAGAGTTCCCTTGGACAATAGTAGACTAGTATATTTCAGACCAATCTTTCCACTGTGAAAGTCTAGACAAAATATATCTTTAATTAACTTGAAGATATAAGAGAACTACCAAGGCAACGAGAATTTGTAGGGAAAATTTGTAGGGAATTTTCTTCCAGAAAAAGAGCAGAACAAGAAAGGTTAAACTGATGTATATCACCACACTTCCTCTCCAGGCAATTGCTAATTGTAAAGGTGGCAGGTAAGAAGCTTTAAGGTTAAGCAAAACTTTTGCTAGACTCAATACAGCCATGGAACAATGATAAGAGATTAGAGACCAAAAATAAGAAAAAGTTTTTACATTTTTTGTTGCCCATAGAAGCTTTATATATTAACTATGATCTTAATCACTAAAACTATGATTTAATCAAGGTTCTAGAATAACTTGTGTCCTGAAGCCTAGATACGTGCCAGAAGAAAAATGAAAACATATTGGAAGAAAATAGTATACAGAGATTCAACTTATCTCTACATTTTAAATAAACAGTCTCAATTCCTCAAACAAGAATAACCAGCCAGGGAGGGGCCAAGATGGTGGACTAGAAACAGTTGCGGTCAGAGGCCCTCACCAAGGACACAAACAGCGAGTGAATCCTGCTGGTGAATCCAGCGAGTGAATCCCACCTGGTAGCCACAAGGGGAATGGGGATCTCCTACCCCAAGCCAAGGGAGGCGGTGAGCGATTGTGCTACCCCTACCTGGAAAGTCACGCTTTATCCACAGATCTGTGCAACCTGTGGATAAGGAGATTCCCTCAGGAGCCCACGCCACCAGGGCGTTGAGTCCCAAGCACAGTGCTGTGCAGAATCTCAGTGGACACTCAGCTGGAGACTGCCTAAGACTACCAAATTCCTGAGGAGAGGGGCAGCTGCCATCCCTTTGGCTACCTACTGCCTCAGACAACTGAACTTTCGGAGGAAGGGGTGGCCACCATCACTGGCTGCCATCACTGCAGTTCCAGTCTGCTGTTTTCCTCTTCTGGTGCCGGAGAAAACTGGGTGGTTTGGACCCAGGAGGAATTCCTCACAGTGCAGCACAGAGACTGTGGCAGATAGTGGCCAGACTCCCTCTTTAGGCTGGACCTGGCCCCATCCCTCCTCACTGGGTGGGGCTTCCCTGCAGGAATTTCACCAACTCCAGCCAGGGGTTTATGGACAGAACTCTGTTCTCCCTGGGATGAAACCCCTGGGGGAAGGGATGGCCACGATCTCTGTGGGTCAGTGGACTTAGTCTTTTCCCCTGCTGGCTCTGAGGAATCCCAGCAGTCCAGGTGAATGTGATTCCCCTCAGCGCAATGCACCCCCTCCACCAAGAGGCAGCCAGAGTGCTTCATTAAGCTGGTCCCTGATCCCGTGCTTCCTGACTGGATAAAACCCCCAAACGCGGGTCACCAGCCACATTATACAGGAGCGTTCCCACTGGCATCAGGTCAGTGCTCCTCTGGGATGGAGCTCCCAGAGGAAGGAGCAGGCAGCCATCTTTGCTGTTTTGCAGCGTCCAGTAGTGATGCCTCCAGGGGTGGGAGGGACTCAGGAAAACAGGGTCTGGAGTGGACGCGCAACAAACTGCAGCAGCCCTAAGGAAGAGGAGCCTGACTGTTAAAAGAAAAAACAAACAAAAATAAAGCAACAACAGCATCAAAAAAAGTTCCCACAAAAAACCCATCCAAAGGTCAGTAGCCTCAAAGATTGAAGGTAGATAAACTCTTCATTCAGAAATTGTGGTACATATACACCATGGAATACTATGCAGCCATAAAAAAGAATGAGATCATGTCCTTTGCAGGGACATGGGTGGAGATGGAAGCCATTATCCTCAGCAAACTAATGCAGGAATAGGAAACCAAACACCCCATGTTTTCACTTAGAAGTGAGAGCTGAACAATGAGAATACATGGAGGGGAACACAGGGAGGGGAACAACATACACTGGGGCCTACAGGTGGGATGGGGAAAGGGAGAATATCAGGAAAAATGGCTAATGCATGCTGAATTTAATACCTAGGTGATGAGTTGATAGGCATAGCAAACCACCATGGCACATGATTACCTATGTAACAAACCTGCACATCCTGCACATGTAACTTGGAACTTTAAATTAAATTAAAATGATCACCTGACATATTCAAATATATTACCACATTCTGGAGAAAAAATAGGCAATAAGAATGAAATCACAGTTGATCAAGATAATAAAATTAAAATACTTTTAATGAATATATTCAAAAATTTTTAAACAGTGAAAAATCCTAAAAATTTAAAAATCCAAAATAAATGTCCATGAAACAAAAATTAAGATGACTTAAATAAATAATTTGAAAACACATAAGTAATCCTGCAGAAAAAATTAGTCATATTTAAAAATGCCAGAACAAGACCAAACTCAATCATAAAATGAGAATGAATAGTGGAAAATTTGGGAAAGGGCATAAGAGATAGTAGTTAATAGTTTTCCAAACCTGATAAAAGATATTCACATTTATATTCAAGTACTGTTACTAATTCTAAGTCATCTGAATGCACTCCAATATTATAGCATCTTTAGGAAAATAAAAGACAACGGGAAAATCATAAGGGTAACCTTCAAAGAACAACAGTAAAATGGATTTTTTCTTCTCATCCAAGATAAAGGGAATTAGACAGCAATGTAGTTAATATCTTCAAATGTCTAACAAACTGATATTGATTTATAAAACAAAAAATATAGGTAGTTGTGTACATATATGTGCACATGATGTTTGTATATATAAAGTATATAAGTATACATGTACTTCTCTGTATAAAGTACCTCTCTGTGTAAAGTAATATTGTATTGTATATAAAATACATAATATGGTACTTTAAACAACACTGTTAAAGAGAAGAGGAAATAATGAAGAAGGCCATAAGAAGGACTTTAGTGATGCTAATATTTTGTATTTTTTGCCTAAATGGCTATGTCAGATTTGTGATAATCCTCTAACATCTACACTTCTCACTTTTACAATTTTCTACAGATATATTTAAATAAAAGTGTTATTTTAAAAATAGTGCATCAAGGCTGGATGTGGTGGCTCATGCCTGTAATCCCAGCACTTTGGGAAGCCGAAGAGGGCAGATGGCTTGAGCTCAGCAGTTCAAGAACAGCCTGAGCAACATGATGAAACCCCATCTCTACAAAAACAAACAACAAACAAAATCTATATCTATACATAGAGATACAAATTGATAGAGATAGATAGATATAGATATAGATATAATTAAACAGGCATGGTGGCATGCACCTGTAGTCCCAACTACACAGGAGGTTGAGGTGGGAGGATTGCTTGAGCCCAGGAGGTTGAAGTTGCAGTGAGCCAAGGTCATGCCACTGCACTCCAGCCTGGGCAACACAGTGAGACCCCACCTCAAAAAAACAAGTATATTACAACTGTCATCTTCTTTTTCCAATCTTTGTGTTCCTCCCTTCCCACAAGGCTAGATTTGATATGACTTTTACTCATTTATATCAATCTTATGCATGCCAAACTTTTTATTAGTAAAATATAACATTTTAATACATATAAATGTAAATGCATGTACCATATTGTATAAAAATGTGTCACAGAGAATTTGGAGGCTCTAGGAAGACTCAGAGGAAAAAAGCCAAGGCAAGCTTCAAGATAAATTTTAGGATTAAAAAGGGGAGCTACAAGAAGTAGCGGATGGAGATGGCAGTAGAAAGATGACAAGAAAAAATGGAAACCCAGTAATATTTATGTGTGTGTGTGTGTGTGTGTGTGTGTGTGTGTGTGTGTGTGTATTTCTTAATGGAGAAGGTTTTGCATTTAATCTTTGAAACTTAAACAGCCTTCACTGGGCTTTTAACTTGAAGCCACATGAAGAGACATCTATAGTAATGTTCTGAAGGTGGGAATTAGAATTGTCCCACCATTCTCCCAGGGAACTCACACAACCTGAGCTCAGTAAAGAAATCAAGGGTATGGCTGAAGCTTTCAAAACATCTTTATTTGAGATATCCTTCATCAGCAATTTATCTGAAAGGTTGACTCATTTCATGTATCCAAAAGCTTTGTGCCCTGAATAAAGCAAGAAAGAGGAGTTGCGAGGCCTTCTGACATTGCACACCAAGTTAGCGTCTTCAGAATTTGTTTAAAGTTTTTCATATATATATATATATATATATATATATATATATATATATATATATATATATATTCAAACAAATATTGAAGAAATAATTACCACTTGTAGTTTTAAAATAAATATCACCAGTTAACAGAAAAACTAAATTAAAGAGATTTTTTCACAAAAGTATTAAGGGCATGGAATTTGTACACAGGCAGAATTTTTTCCCTGCATCTCTATTGGTAAATACCTGACACTGACTGTCCTGATCCTGTCAGTATTCTGCCTAGCTGTGTTCAGATCTCTTCACTGGTTTTGTGGTCCTCTCCTCTAGCTTATAGGTGCTTTTGCTTCTGACGGCTGTGTCTGGCTATTCAGAGGGTTTCCTTGGAATGACTGGAGGCAATTTGTCATCCTCATCCACAAAGGTAGATGTGTCTGAAACTTTGCATATCACAAAGCATCCCAGTGAGGGGTTGCTCTTAGCCAATGACTGGTTGACACAAAAGTGTTATTGACACCCAGCTCCCTTTCTTCCAGTTGGGATAATTCTGAGATGCAATTTATCCTTCAGAGCTTCCCTGAAGGATCTGGCTGCGACTGGGATTGCCTGAATTGAATCTCTTCTTGACTTTATTCCTTTCCCTGTCCTGTTTTACCTATTTACTTACTGGTTTTTCTAGGGAGCAATTTTTTTTTTTTTTTGAGTCAGAGTTTTGCTCTTGTTTTCAGGCTGGAGTGCAATGGCGTGATCTCAGCTCACTGCAACCTCTGCCTCCCGGATTCAAGCTATTCTCCTGCCTCAGCCTCCCGAGTAGCTAGGATTACAGGCATGTGCCACCACACCCAGCAAATTTTTGTATTTTTAGTAGAGACGGGGCTTCTCCATGTTGGTCAGGCTGGTCTCGAACTCCCGACCTCAGGCGATCCGCCAGTCTCAGGCTCCCAGAGTGTTGGGATTACAGTCGTAAGCCACTGCACCCAGCCAGGGGCATTTTCTTAACACGTCCTTTGAACACTAATTCTCATCTCAGTGTCTTCTTCTAGGAAACCCTACCTAAGACCTATTGAAAGGGTATTCAGTAAAAAGAAAAATGCAATTTTTTCCAAGTAGCAATTTTGATGTAAGAAATAAAGTGTTGTTTTTTTTAAGTCTTTTCCCTTTTCCTTCACTATCTCCATTTTTAGGGTTTGAGTTTGGGATATTACTGTCAAATGAGTCAGAAGAGAGCATAATATGAGTTTATTGGGGCAGATATCATTTCAAAAAGAAAAAATATATAAGAGTAAACCATATAAGTCTATGTAATAAAAACTGAATATATATATATATAATAAAATGTTATATAAAATACTTGTAAAAATAAAATTAGGGGTAGCTGCAGGATGCACATTGAGCAGCAAAAGTAAATTGCAAAACAAAGGCTAACCACAACACTGGTTTTCTATATGAATAAAAACAAATAAATTACATCTCTGAACCTAAGTACCCTATTGGCATGTATCTCCTTTTCAGCCCCACATCAAAGAAGCTTCTAGATTTCTGATGATAAAAACCTGATTCAAATCAACTCAAAGAAAATCGTATTCATTGACACATAAACAATTTTAAACATAGTTGAATCCAGGGTCACCTGTTGCAAAATCCAGCATCTCTTTCTACGTACTTCTTTTTTGAATTGGTTTCTGACATGGACTTAAGTTATTTCTGTCAGGACACTACCCCTTTTCCCTTTATCTGGAAAGGGCACCATTTTTAGAATCAGGAAATTACCACCATCCATGTGGTTTGAGTGAGGTTGAACTCAAACTCCAGAATCAAGAGTGGACACCTAATCTGAATATGGTGAATCTATATGTTATTTCAAGCCTTCACCCACAGTGATTGGTTCTGGAATAAAAATGTTTTCTAAGGCAGAGCTATGAGATTCAATTTTGAGGCCCAACTTGAAAATGCTAGGAAGATATATGTTCTTTCTTTGAGGGATGCTGAGAAAATGGGATAAAAAGTGTAAAACTGATGACAGTGATTTTGCCACCAAGGAGAAAGGGAGAGTTGCTTGACAATAGATCCAGCACAAAGAAAAGCAGAGTTAAGAGATGAACAGTACAAAATTGTGTTCCTATATCATGTTCTGATCCACTTGCAAGCATTATCTCTATATGTTTGAAATAGTACCAGTTGTATCACTTGCAACTGGTATAAATTCATTCTGCAGATATTGTGTTCTGCTGGCAGGTTTTGACTTATCTAGTTCTTGGAGTTTGAAATTCCTGAAATAAAGACCTCTTTCACAGTATCTCTGTAATAAATGTGATGGAACACCATGAGTGGTCCATTATATGCCTATCTCTGACACAATCATTGTTGACAGGGCATAAAATATTCTAATTCATCAATAAGTAAATGACAAAAATTGAAACAAGGCAATGAAACAAGGACCATTTGGACAGAGATAATATATGAGTGAAAGAACGTTGGAAAGGAATGAGGTAGGGGTGATATCCCAAAGAAAAAATGATGATTTTTGTACCAGCCCAAAGAGGCAAGAATGCTTGTTAGAAATAATGATAAACGTCTTATCATTCTGAACTCAAAATTTATGTAAAATATTGATAAGAATGCTTACTCTTCCTAACCCCTATACTATTTTGAGAGTAAAATGAAAGTAAAATTTAGTAGACAATTGCAGTTGGCAAAAATTTTTAATGGGATTAATAATTGAGGGCTTAGTTGTAGGTTAATTCTCTATATTTACTTTCATAGTCATGGCATTTTTTTCTATATACCTCTCACAATTACTAAATAGGTTATTAAGTCATAGTACAAAACAACATCTGTTCTGGGATGTTGGCAAAAGAACACATGATTTTCTTTACATACCCTTCTATAAGCAATTTGTGTCATTATTTTCTACTGGAAATTATTGCTTATAAAGTCATATGGCCAGTCTTTTATCTGAGATATATAACATATAAATACATAACACATAATAGGTAAATATATATACACACATATATGCAAATATACATTTAAAATCAGTATTAGCATTTTTGTCTATAGTTGTTGAGGGTTATTTATTAACATATACAATTTGGGGGCATTAATTACACAGAGATCCCTTTGAAATATTATGCTTTGTTTTCCTTGCCCCTAGCACACTGTAGACATTCCATAAATATTTGTGGAATGTCAAATGAATGAAACCTGGAATTCCTATGACCATAGCTTTCAGTAAAAGATATGGTCAATTTGCATAGGCCATTTTTTCCAGAAAGTTAGGTGACGGTCTCAACTGAACTCTTTATTTCTAAGTGCAAAATATCTCTAAAGGAGATTCAGTACCCATTTAGAAATGCATAACCACCTCTTTTGAACTCTGTCACTTGAAATTGCTTCACTCTTCTCAACACTTACAGTCCTTCTCCAATCTCATTTTAAATTCAGTGACAGAGAAATAAAATAGGGTTTAACATTCTTGCAGAGCTAAGCTTTTGTGTCCACTGTAAGGCTCTGATTTCTTTTTTCCTTTCTTCCTTCTTTTCTTTCTTATTTTATTTTATTTGGTTTGGTTTTTTTTCTTCATTTTGTTTTGTTTTCAGCAACACTAGGCTTTTATCCATTGCATGCATGCACAAGCTTTTGCTGCCTTTCAATCAAGCATATTAATTAGCCATGAGCCTTTGGATGAGGATACAAGGAAACAATGGCACTGCACTGTAATCTCAGCACAAAAGATGCAGAAGCTGATTGTGCTGTCATGGGTCTAATCCCCGTCTTCCCCACAAGTGCTTAAGTGGTATTAAGGAAAGAACTGTGACTACCATTTTCTCGACTTCCAGTGTGACCTATTCATTTCCTCTGTCATGGCATTTACTGTGGTTAATATGATTGGCATAGTTACATGTCTGTTTCTCCACTATCCTATGAGGTCCTCCAGAAATGTTAGTCACCACATTATCCAGCAAACCATAGGAACTTAATAAGTGGTGTTTCAAGCCACACAATATTATGTATAATAAAAATCTTAGACAAAGCATGTGCATGCCACACAAAACTGCTGAAAACTGTGAAAAGAGTTAATTTGAAACAGCTTCCAAGATTTGACTCTGATTAAGAGTGTCACCCATCTATGAGAATTTGTTCCCCCTCAGTATCTCTAATTTTTAAGAGCTAGCAGAGGAAAAAAATGCAATTCAGTATTGGGGGTTAAGACAGTTTCTTTGTTGTTTAATATTTTTTTTTGTCAACAGAGTGTTGTAATAAGAAAACTATTTTATTAATTTTTGTCCAATGTAATACCAGAGTGGTAGTTTAGATAATGGCCAAGTTATATCAGCAGACATAAATATTCTGCCCAAAAAGAAATAATTCCTCTCTTTCTTCTCAGGTTATGTGACTCCCTCAGTTCTGACTAGGATAATGTATGTTTTTTAAACCTCTTTTCCATGCCTTTATTGGAGCGCACCTCAACTCCATGCTCAGGTTGATATAGCCTGAGGTCATACTTGTGATTTTAACAGCTGTACCTCCTACTTCTAAATTTTTGAGTCTTACAATTAAAGAGATCAGTAAGCATTTAAAAATGATTATCATTTATTTACTTTCTTAAACTGAGGAGCGTTTTTGTAAATGCATTACATAATTTATACATGTCCATTAAAGAAAAAAACTAAAAAAAAATTTGATAAGAAAAGCCACCAACAAAAGAAACACTATTAACATTTTGGTATAAATATTTCTATGAATTTTCTTCTGTATGAAGACATCAATAGGAAATACTCTCGTTTACTCAATAGATGGAGCAAATAGAGAAATTAGAGGATAGAATTTTGTATTTAGGGGAATGTAAGCAGGAAAGAAGAACATTTGAGAGCCAGGTTTGGAAAAATGATTTAGGAAAAAAAATGTGCATATCTGTGCAATAGCTAGCCTAGAACAGCAACTGAAGACATTTCATCTATGAGCGTGACTTTTCCGAAAGGAACAATTAACATTGTACAGCAAGGGGAATATAGATAAGATCAGCAACTAGTAAGGTTGTCATATACATGTTTAGATGGTTCATTATCCAAGGACCCTGGGAAATGGGTCAAACAGGGTTTACAGCAGGGCTAGGTTCACCTCGAGAAAGGGGTGTCTGTTATCTAATTTGCACTAAGCATGTACTCATTGTGCTGTTTCCAGGTGGAGTAAGGAAGGGCAACTGTCACTAATTCTGGTGAGCCAATTGTGGTCCTGGGTACTGGGAAATGCCAGTTATGTGTCAAAGAGGTTAACTGCAGACTGGGGAAAACAAAATGGCAAACTTTGGCAATGGGAGGGCTGAAGAGCAAAGAATGTAAACAGAGCAAGAGTGGTTTGGATAGAAGCCAGCAATACTTGCTATCTTCCTCTTAAGAAAAGTTTTGCCTATCACGCCAGCCCAAGGCATAGGCCAAAACGAAGGTTCAGTGCTGGTTATCCGCTCCCATTGCCACTTGCTCTTTGTTTACATGTTTTAAAAAGCTAGTTACTGTTTTGAAAATGCATGCTGTATTTTTTTGACGTATGCTTTAAATTTTAAACATTGCATTATTCGAATTTTATTTTTCTGTCAGTTTATATTTTATATAATGATTACTTGATAGACTAAGAGCAATATAGGTGCTGTTATTTAAATATTATATTTTGTAACTTCTGTGACAAGAGAACAAAATTAGACAATTACCTTTTTAAATGACTTTTTTTCTACCACAGCCTTAGTTAATGAAATGCTTGATGTGAATTGGGCTGTTAGGGTATGGAAAGCCAATAAAGTATTTTTAATACCATTTTCTACATCTGTTTTAAAGCCAGTTGGGGTAAAATGAGCAGCAACACGTTACCTTCAACACATTGCCTTCTTCTTTAGTTACCTTTCTTGTTGGTTCCCCTCTTAAACAGTGAAATAAATCCAAATTTCAAAGTTCAATCTTCAAATGATCAGTTATCAGGACTTTATCACTGGTTCCCAAATTTCAAAAGCTAATTAACTGACTAACCAGTTTAGAAATTATGCACAGGCCTTCTTTAAACTAGATCTTTCATGCGCTTTTGTTGCAGTATCATGACTTTCAATGATTCCTGAAAATAACCCATAAGAAGTATCACTAAATTCAAATGCAACTGGAACTCTCAGTTCGTGTCTGGGTCACATGATTTTACCGCGATTACCTGTCATTTATGAGAGATGGAGAGACAGCGAGAGAGAGAGAGAGAAGTGTCATTTTATTCCGTTGATCATTACATCTTCATGTTGAACCCCATTTATTCAGAAGATATTTAGTAGAAGTTTACCATGTTTGAGTAGACATGGTGGATTGAAATATAAATAATCTCACAGGTAGCAGCTTGAGAAAAGAGACAATTTCTCTAGTATGAAAATTTAGAAAATGTTCAAAGTTCAAATGCCCAACTTCACATTCTGCCCAAAATTATAGTAAACCATTAAAAAAGAAGTATTAACAATGTGTTCTGGGAGAAAAATTTCATTGTTTACAACTGAAAAATCTTCCTAAGGGAGCTGTTCTTCTACCTGGATCTCAAAGTACTTATAAAATTCTGATAAAACCAAACAAATGATATTGAGGGCGAAAATAGCATAAGCAAAGGCATAAAGATGGAAATGCATAAATTCAGACAAAATGATTGAAAAGATAAACTGTAGAAGACTCTGCAGTTAAGTATTCATTCTTTAAAGTCTTTTTTAACCTAATCAAGTGTGATAACGCAAAGGTTAAATTGTTATTATGTAGAATTCTGGTTACTCTGAAATTATATAATAGATTCACAGAGATGTAGTACTGTCTGTTTTCTGGGAGTTGGATGAAAACAATGCTTATTTCTGTTGTTGTTTTATCAACTGGAGAATGAGTATACACCATTCTTTTGATGCAGGTGGTTGAAAAGTAGAAAGTCTGGACTCTCATTACAAACATAGTGGTGGGCATTATCATTACCTCCTCAGAACTGCTTTCATCACTCTCTCGATTAATAACAATGCGCCTGTTTTTATGCCTGTCAGCCTCAAAAAGAACTTGATCAAACTAAGGGTGTAATCTTTCTGCTTGGCAATGATATGCTCAGAAAGTTGATGTGAGCAAATCGTGGGAAATGAAATGAGAGATAGGGCGCACTGCATGCAGTATTCTGGAAGAGTTCTTGCTCTGCTGAAAGTCCCAAGAAGCTATCTTTCCTCAACTGTCAGACCTTCACAAGGGATGCTGTAGGCTCAGCTGCCAACACCCATTGTACTTTCTTCACTCAGGACACAGCCAGCAACACTTTAGACGTCATCAACGTTTTAGACTTCAAAGAAGAGAAAACAAAATGTGGTTCTGAAAATGAAAGTGAGCTGTTAAATAAACCTACTTAACCTTGCCATACCTTAGGACTTCGAGCCATGTGAACAATTTTTCGGAGGGAAGAATCTCTTACTGAAATAGCCAACTAGAGTTTAGCTTTTCTGAGCTTTACAGGTGAAATCATCCTTACTTAAACACCACAAGAATAGCAATGCCAATATCACTTAAAATTTAAAAGAAGACCACAATACATTCTGAATATTTTTAAAAAATGAAAGGGTACATGAATGTCAAGGTACTTATTAACTCCTGAAAGGATGAGATAAAAATGCAGTTTGTTGTGTTCGCCAGAGCCAGGTGGTTGATGGCTTCCGTTTTATATGTAGTGTATTAATATTTTGCCATTTGTTTCTCCACATATTTTTCTTCAAATAATTAAAATATTTTAGGCTGAGCTTGGTAGTTGACACCTATAATTTCACATGCTAGGAGGCTGAGGTGAGAGGATCGCTTGAGGCCAGGAGTTCAAGACCAACTTGAACAACATAGTGAGGCGCTCCTTCTATACAAGAAAAAAAAAATTAGCCAGGTGTAGCGACACACACCTGTAGTCCTAGCTACTCAGGAGGCTGAGATGGGAGGAATGCTTGATTACAGGGGTTCAATGTTGCAGTGGGGTATGGTTCAGTGATGCAGTGAGCTTGAGCACAGGGTCTCAAGACTGCAGTGAGCTATGATCAACATTGAACTCCAGCTTAGGTGACAGAGCAAGAACCTCTCTCTCTCTCTCTCTCTATATATATATATAAATATACATATATTTGTTATATTATATCTATGAAATTATATATTTGTTATATAACATTTATTTATTTATTTTTAAAATCTGTGTGATGGACGAAGACTGTGACTTTGTATTATTCTGTGCTGGTGAATATTGTAGTCATGAGCCACGTGCGACTATTGAGTACATAAAATGTGACTAGTCCAAAGTGAGATAAATTATATGAGTAAAATGCACATCAGATTTCAAAGACTTAATACAAAAAATGTGATACATCTTAATAGTTTTACATTGATGGAGATGGTTGAAAACTCAAAATGTCAAAATTATAATTTTTTAACATTGGATCAATAAAATATTTTATTAAAGGTAATTTTACTTGTTTCTTTTTATTAAGTGTGACTATTTGAAAATTTGAAAGCACATATGTAACTTGTGTAATATTTCTGGTTATCTCTGTTACAGATTTTTTTTTAATTTGAAATGCTTCAGAATTAAAACATTTAAAATAAAATTAAAACTCTGTTTTATACTTAGAATTATCTTCCATATGAAAAAGACATTATTGTAAATGTGAATACAGAAAAACTCAAGCAATTTGTGCAAATTTATTGAATTTCATCCAACTTTACTTCCTCAAGCAGTAGAATAGCTATGTTCTGGATGTTTGGGGTGATAAGTAACAAATTTTCAATTATGTATATATATATAGCTTCAAAGAGGTAGAGTGACATAGAAATAGAAATAGTGGCTATAAGATATCATCTCTTCTCTATGTTCTTGTAATAAGAAGCTGCTTATTAACTGGATTTTTAATTACTTTAATTAAAAAATCTCCATGACTTCCTCTGGCCTTCATGATACTCTCAATACTATTTTGAAGCCTGAAGTCTATGAGCTTTAATTTTAGGGCCATATCTTCCATGAGATAATATATAATTCCAGGAAATTACAATGGTTATGACAACATGAATAAAGATACCTTTCTATGATAATCCTTAATATTTGTGTTTATATTACTTTTTATGATTATTTGTATAATACAATAAAATTTCCTCATTGTACCCTTGAGCTCTCAAATTCTTTTTTTTTTTTTTTTTTGAGACGGAGTCTCGCTCTGTCGCCTAGGCTGGAGTGCAGTGGCGCGATCTTGGCTCACTGCAAGCTCCGCCTCCCGGGTTCCTGGGTTCACGTCATTCTCCTGCCTCAGTTTCCCGAGTAGCTGGGACTACAGGCGCCTGCCTCCACGCCCACCTAATTTTTTGTATTTTTAGTAGAGAGGGGCTTTCACCGTGTTAGCCAGGATGATCTCGATTTTCTCACCTCGTGATCCGCCCACCTCGCCTCCCAAAGTGCTGAGATTACAGGCGTGAGCCACCGCGCCCGGCCTCTAATTCTAATAGAAAATTTTAAATTTATATTTGAGTAATAAAATATTCTTTATTAATTAAAAATGGATATTTATTAAAAACTCTACTTCGAGTATTTAAAAATAATTTTAAAAAGTCCATAAGTCCATCATACAATGACATAATAGCTAATGTTTTATAATATTTACCAGTGAAAGTACACATATATTTATGTTTTTAAATTCAAACTAATAAAGTGGATTTTTATGAGCTCTTCACTAGCATCAGTATAAAATATGTTTTATATGTGAGTAAACCATAATTTACTTAAACGTTCCTTTATTTGAAATCGCTAAATTTGAAGGAAGGAAAGTGAGATAGAAATATTTAAATTATTTACACATAATCACATAAACATATGCCCAAAACTAAGGTTTTCTTATTTTAATATAACCATGTGTCCCTTAATGATGGGTATGTGTTCGGAGAAATGCAATGTTAGGGAATTTGGATTCACTTAGCTAGTATTTTGTTAAGGATTTTAGCGTCTATGTTCATCGGGGATATTGGGCTTTAGTTTTTGTGTGTGTGTGTGTTTTTTTTTTTTTTTTTTTTTGGTTATGTCCTTTCCTGGTTTTGGTGCCAGGGTGATACTGGCTTCACAGAATGATTTAGGGAGGGTTCCCTCTTTCTCTATCTTGTAGAATAGAGTCAATAGGATTGGTACCAATTCTTCTTTGAATGTCTGGTAGAATTCTGCTGTGAACCTGCCTGGTCCTAGACATTGTTTTGTTAGTAATTTTTAAATTACCATTCCAATCTCACTGCTTGTTATTGGTCTGTTCAGGTTATCTAATTCTTCCTGATTTAAGCTAGGAAAGTTGTATCTTTCCAAGAATTCTTCCATCTCCCTTAGGCTTTCTAGTTTATGTGCATAAAGGTGTTCATAGTAGCCTTGAATAATCTTTTGCATTTCTGTAGTGTCAGTTGTATTATCTCCCATTTCATTTCTTATTGAACTTATTTGGATTTTCTCTCTTTTTTCTTGGTTAATCTTGCTAATAATCTATCAATTTTATTTATCTTTTCAAAGAACTAGCTTTTTGTTTCATTTATCTTTTGTATTGATTATTTTTTTCAATTTCATTTAGTTCTGCTCTGATCTTGGTTATTTCCTTTCTTCTTCTGTGTTTGAGTTTGGTTTGTTCTTGTTTCTCTGGTTCCTTCAGGTGTGACTTTAGATTGTCTGTTTGTGCTCTTTCAGACTTTTTGATGTAGGAGTTTAGGTCTATGAACTTTCCTCTTGGCACTGCCTTTGCTGCGTCCCAGAGGTTTTGATAGGTTGTGTTACTATTGTTGTTCAGTTTGAAGAATTTTTTAATTTTCATCTTGATTTCATTTTGGACCTAATTATAATTGAGGAGGACGTTATTTAATTTCTATGTATTTGCATCATTTTGGAGATTGCTTTTCGAGTTAATATTCAGTCTTATTCTACTGTGGTCTGAGAGAGTGCTTGATATAATTTCAATTTTCTTAAATTTATGGAGGCTCATTTTGTGGCCTATCCTATGGTCTGTCTTGGAGAAAGTTTCATGCACTGTTGAACAGAATGCATATTCTGCAGTTGTTGGATGGAATATTCTGTATAGATCTGTTAAGTTCATTTGTTCCAGGGTATAGTTTAAATCCATTGTTTCTCTATTGACTTTCCGTCTTGATGACAATGCTGACAATGGAGTATTAAAATTTGTCACTATTATGGTGTTGCTATCTATCTCATTTCTTAGGTCTTTTAGTAATTTTTTCATAAATTTGGGAGCTCCAGTGTTAGGTGCATATATGTTTAGGATTGTGATATTTTCCTGTTGGACAAGGCCTTTTATCATTATATAATGTCCCTTTTTGTCTTTCTTAACTGCTGTTGCTTTAAAGTTTGTTTTGTCTGATATAAGTACAGCTACTTTTGCTTGCTTTTGGTGTCCATTTGCATGAAATGTCTTTTTTCCACCCCTTTAAGTTTCTGTGAGCCCTTATATGTTAGGTGAGTCTCTTGAAGGCAGCAGATGGTTGGTGAGTTCTTACCCATTCTGCAGTTGCGTATCTTTTAAGTGGAGTATTTAGGCTATTTACATTCAATGTTAGTATTGAGATGTGAGGTACGGTTGCATTCATAGTGTTTTTTGTTGCCCGTATACTTTGGTTTTTTGTTTTTATTTTTTAAATTGTATTTCTGTTTTATAGGTCCTGTGAGATGTATGCTTTAAAGAGGTTCTGTTCTGATGTGTTTCTAGGATTTGTTTCAAGATTTATAGCTCCTTTTAGCAGTTCTTGAGTGGTGGCTTGGTAGTGGCAAATTCTCTCAGCATTTGTCTGAAAAAGACTGTATCTTTTCTTTATATATGAAGCTTAGCTTTGCTGAATACAAAATTCTTGGCTGAATTATTATTATTTTTTTTTGAGGAGGCTGAGGATAGAGCCCCAATCCCTTCTAGCTTGTAGGGTTTCTGCTGAGAAATCTGCTGTTAATCTGATAAGTTTTCCTTTATAGGTTACTTGGTGCTTTTGTCTCACAGCACTTAAGATTCTTTCCTTCATCTTAACTTTAGATAACCTGATGACAATATGCCAACATCTTTTTGTGATGAATTTCCAAGGTGTTCTTTGTGCTTCTTGTATTTGGATGTCTAGGTCTCTAGAAAGGCCAGGGAAGTTTTCCTCAGTTATTCCCCCAAATACATTTTCCAAACTTTCAGATTTGTCTTCTTTCCCAGGAACACTGATTATTCCTAGGTTTGGTCATTTAACATAATTCTAGATGTCTTGGAGGCTTTGTTCACATTTTCTTATTCTTTTTTCTTTGTCTTTGTTGGATTGGGTCAATTGGAAGACCTTGTCTTTGAGCTCTGAATTTATTTCTTCTTGTTCCATTATATTGCAGAGACTTTCCAGTGTGTCTGTTGTTTCCTGAACTTTTGTTTGATTTTATTTATGCTATCTATTTCCTTGAATATTTATCCCTTCACTTCTCGTATCATTTTTTTGGATTTCCATACATTGGACTTCACCTTTCTCTGGTGCCTCCTGATTAGCTTAATAACTAACCTCCTGAATTCTTTTTCAGGTAAATCTGGGATTTCTTTTCGGTTTGGGTCCATTGCTGGTGAGCCTGTGTAATTTTGTGTGGGTGTTAAAGAACCTTGTTTTGTCATATTACCAAAGTTGGTTTTCTGGGTCCTTCTCATTTGGGTAGGCTCTGTCAGAGGGACGGTCTAAGGCTGAAGGCTGTTGTTGAGATTCATTTGTCCCACTTGGTGCTCCCTTGATGTAGTACTCTCTCCCTTTTCCTATGGATGTGGTTTCATGGGAGTTGAGCTGTAGTGATTGTTATCTGTCTTCTGGATCTAGCCACCCAGCAAGTCTACCAGACTCTCAGCCGGTACTGGGGGTTGTCTGCACAGAGTCCTGTGATGTGAATACTCTGTGGGTCTATGAGGCATGGATTCGAGCACCTATTTCAGTGGAGGTGGCAGGGGGGTGAAATGGACTCCGTGAGGGTTCTTAGGGTGGTTTAATGCACTACTTTTGGGCTGTTTGGCCTACTGCCACGAGGTGGCGCTTTCCAGAGAGCATCAGCTGTGGTGGTATGGGGAGGAACAGGTGGTGGGCAGGGCCCTAGAATTCCCAAGACTATCCGCCCTTTGTCTTCAGTTACCAGGGTGGGTAGGGAAGGACCACTGGGTGGGGGCAGGGCTAGGCATGTCTGAGCTCAGACTGTCCTTGGGCTGGTCTTGCTGTGGCTGCTATGGGAGATGGGGTTGAGATTCTCAAGTCAATGGAGTTATGTTCCTAGGAGGATTATGGCTGCCTCTGCTTTGTCATGCAGGTTGTCAGGGGAGTGGGGGAAAGCCAGCAGTCACAGGCCTCACCCAGCTCCCACACAATCCTAAGGGCTGGTCTCACTCCCACCATGTTCCCCACAATAGCACTGAGTCTGTTTCCAGGCAGTGGGCAAGCAGGGCTGAGAGCTTGCCCCAGGATACCCGCCTCCCAGCTGTGAAAGCAAATATGGCTTTCCTTCTTGCCCAGCCAGTGGAGTCTGCACACCAGATTCATGCCCTCCCCTGAGTTCCGGCCAGGAGGCTTCTTGATAAGTTCAGGTTGTTGCAAGGTTCAGCTGGAGATTTCTTTCTCCCTTTGGCCTTTGCCCAGCACCTCTGGAGCCCTCCCAGAGGACCCCTGTGAGGCCAGGCAGAAACGGGTTGGTACGAAACCCAGTGAGCTACCAGGGGTTTTCCTGCTGCTTTCTCTACCCTTGTATTTCACTCAGCTCTCTAAATTGTCTCAGCTCCTGGTAGGGTCAAAATCTTCTCCCATAATCTAGGCCTTCATTTTCCCCAGTGGGGGTATGTGTTCATGTGTGGATGATCTCCCCCTCCCACCTTCACAGTTTGGGCACTCACAGTATTTGAGGTGTTCCCTGGTCCTGCAGGAGCAATATGCTTCCTTCATGAGGTCTGTGGGTCTTCTCAGTTTTCCTGATTTATTCCTGCAGTTATTCTGAAGCAAAAATTCATAATGCGAGCCTCCATATGCTCTTTGTTCCAGTCAGAGGTGCAATGTAGTCCTGCCTCCTGCCGCCATGATCCCTATTTCCTCCCCGCAGTGTTATTTTTATCTACCATAAGACGTATAATTACATTTGATTCTAGTCACACCAAACAAGTAGTGATTTAGGCCTACTTAGTTCAGAAAGTCCACAAAAACATGGTAAACACCTACATATATCTACACTGACGAACCTATGCCACAATATTAATAGAATTATTGAACACCTGTTTTCTCACATTAAAAGCACCCAGTAGCTAATCGAAGTTTACTAATAATTTATTTAATTGAATTGTAGAAACATAAAATATTAATATAGGGTATGAAGACTATGTAAGTGGTTGCCTTTTTAAACTGTTTATTGGTTATCTGGAGAGAATATTTAACATATTGCCTCTTAATATTTCACCACTCAATGTCTTACTTACTCTGTGTGTGTGTGTGTATGTGTGTGTGTATGTGTGTGTGTGTGATCGTGTAATATGGTCAGTCAAATAAAATGCTGTGTGGAGCAATAGGGAAAAAACATTTCTTGGGTTCACGTTTAGGTTCTACCACGTGGCTTTGGGACTTAGTAAAACAAAATCTCAGATTCACAGATGGAAAAGGAGATATACCTCTAAATTGCCAAATGGTTGTGAAAATTATAGAAAAAAATGTAAAGTGTCTACATAAATGTTACAGATGCTAAGACTAGGTTTTTGTTACTGAAGCGCTATTGTTGAACTGTCAGATAAAATTTTACAAACACATTTCCTTACCAAAGAGTGCAATATTATCCTTGTCTCATATCCCCAAAGGTTGAGCCAAATATTGACTTGTTTGTTTTTATTTCAACTCATAGAGTAAGCATCAGATGTATTCTTGACTTTCTTTCTTTTCTTCTCCTACCCCCGTAAGTTTTCGTCTCCTTAAAAGTCTGAGTACTTTTTAAAACATTTTTTAATTAATTATTTTTTTACCAGTTATGAGAAAGAAACATTTGTGGCTTTATCCCAGAGAGAAGTGATGGGCCCTTACTGTTTTCAGAGTTAAGCAATAAAAACTGCATCTAAAATAATAGACACCTTGTCTCATTATAGTTCTGATATATTGTCATGATAGAAAAACAAAGTGAGGAGGTTTTTTTTAAGGATTCACTTACGTTTATAAATATGGACAAACATAATTTATGAGAAAATTCAAGAAACATAAACTATGATAAAATGGTAATCTTTTCTTTTATTAAAACTTAGCCTAATCTGAATTTCACATTGTACTGATTTAATTTATTAGATACCATTAAAATGCACAGACAAGTTACTATTTGAACAAATACATTTTTTTTTTGAGTTGAGAGTAAGAAGTAAGGTATTCACAGTGAAAGAAGTAACAGTATAAGGGCCTAGTGAAAAGAAAGTATGGTTATTCAGGAAAACTAGATGTTTGATAAAATGAGATCATAGAATTCAAGGGAAAAATTGCTGAGAAATAAGGCAGAGACATAGAAAAAAAGATCAGAGAAGACGTTGTAGACATTGTAAGTCACATTAAGAGACTGTCCTAAAGCCAGGGCTCTGCAATGTCAAGGGTTCAGAAGGGAGGATGGCATGAAAAGCGCTCACTATACCAAATTTACCACCTGAATGTGACATGAAAAAGAAGCAACAGATAAGAAACATGAATAAAGAGACTGGCTGCAATTTCAGTAAAGTTCCCATGAAAATGCCAATGAATTAAGCTACTAGCAGGGGGATGTGAAGAAAGGTAAGAAATTTTAAAAATAATAAAGTCAGTAGGATTGCCCAGAACTATCACATAATTCAGTGTTGCCAGCTTCCTTAAGCCAACTTTGACCCTGAAATTTTTCGAGTTAAATAATTTGGCCAATTAACTAAGTGGATGATGGTGCTACCACTGTGATAGCAGCTGACCTACAGGTGTAGATGGGGGTGAGGGCATTGAGTCCAAAATCCTCGGTTCACACCTGGATAATAGCAGACATAAGACTATGATTTTATCCACTAGTCACTGAAAATAATGCAGAAGTATATAAGCAAGTCCTTGTCTCAGGAAACCTTCTCAGGAAGCATTTCTAATGCTTCAAAATGTATGTCACAGCTACAAATGAATAGAGATAGTTAGAAAATGCATAATGCATTTGAGTCGGGAATAATTTGGCTATATCACCTTGAATGACCTATTTTTACAACTATCAAAGCATGGTATCAGATGCCAACAAAGCACAGTATATCATGATCACCCCGAAAATCAGAAACACACACATACACACACACATTTGCACACATTCATACACAAACAGTGGATTTTGGTTCTAATGCCTGCTATATTCTACCAGGGAGCAGGTGTTCAATCAAAATTGTTAATGTACTTTCAGCGGGTCTCATATCCTTTAAAAGCAGGTAATTAGAATTATACACAGATACTTTGAAACCATGAATAATTCATTGCCTCCAAATCAATAAAATAATTATTGAATATTTTTATTCTTCCCTTTCTATTTCAATAAAATTGCTCGTGTTGTGGCACAGTCATAAAACTGAACTTACTAAATATTTCAAATTAAAATTGTTCCCTAGAGGATGGAGAAACCGTTCAGTGGACTGAGAAACATCTAGAAGCTCAATTTGTTTTTTACAAAACAATTCCAGGCTTAAAATATTTTTAAAATGTATACCAATGCATATACCATATATAATGCATTATCAATCCTAACTAGATATTTTCAACCCTAACTGGATTTTCTTATACAAACCATTCTAAAACATGGTATACATTTATATTCATACATATGCATGTTTTAAAATATCTATTAGGTTGGTGCAAATGTAATTGCGTTTTTTGCCATTGAATGTAATAGGAAAAACCACAATTACATTTGCACCAACCTAAAATATAAATTATTTAGAAGACAAGAATGTTAAAGAAAATGACTGTTTGCTATATTTAATACAAATCAAGATTAGATAATAACATTTGGATAGGTTAAAAACAATCTATCAATGATTGTAAGATAAACACTTTAAAGACTTTGCAACTGTTATATAGGAATTTTATTTCATTGGATAATGAAGGGGTTTAAATAGTATAAAATAAAACATACCAGACGGTTGTTCTCTGAATTTTAAAAATTGAATGCATTTTGGTTGAATAATGAGACAGAATATACCAACAATGAATCTCAAATCAATTCTATAAAAATTATTTTTAAAATTTTTGCAACAATAATACAGCCCAAATTTGACATTTTCATGAATCTATGGCAATGTTATGCCAATATCCTCATTTATAAGGAGTTTGATATATTTTCTTAAAATTAATCTTTATTCATACAATGCAATAAAGAACAAATTATATTCTAGAAATAAAAAACTTAAATAATTTGTTGGCCATATTGATATTTATATTGTGAATGATTCTATGAGCTAGAAAACAATACTGAACAAAACTCCAAGTTTTCTACCAGCTTCACTCTGTCTCTGTCTCTCTCTCTCACACACACACACACACACACACACACACACACAAAGATGTACATGTACTATATTTCTTTGTATGTATACATATAAACATAAAGAGTGTGTGTGTATAAACACACACAAACATATATAGTCTGTCATACACACGTACTTGCATGTATGCATGTGTATGCCTGTGTGTGTATATCTCATGGTGGAATTGTTACAGGCTATAACAACTTTGGGAAAACCATTTTTCAAATGCTTAAATATCCAAGTATACAATTTAAAGTTTTTAAAGTTTTAACAAACACTTTGAAGAAATATCAACCACTATTAGAAAATTCCAGAATAAATATATTTTGGAACAGCAATAGTAAAGTGAATCCAGAGGTGTAAGGTAAGTCTAAATTAAGAAGGAAGGTCTTTAATGTGTGAATTGAGCATCAGAGTTTATTTCAGATTCGTGTATGTGTCCTAATTCAAGCAGTTTGAAGATTCAGCATTTGGAAGTTCTCTAAAACTCTTCAAAGTAAAATTGACTTTATTAGGAGCATTAGCAATATTGAGCATCACTGCTGAAGTAGGGGGCTTGTCATGTGTTTTCAGTTTCAGTAGGAAGCAAAGAAACCAGGGAAGAGGAATATCCATACAGCTAAATATCTTTCGTTTACAAAGTGACATTTCTCCTATGATTTAAATAAGCAGTTTACTGTTAATTTTCTAACCATGTGAAATAAGTTCTATTTGTGATATACTTGCTAGAGGTTTTGGGGAAACTAATGATTTGCATTCTAACCTCCTACTGGCATTAATTCACTGGTCTGGATTATGTATGTTCACAGTTTCACTCCAATTTTATTTTATACAGCCATCAATATTACAGTGTCAAGATTGCCTTCTTCTTGCCAATAAGTTAAATAAGTTAATTTTCTCACAGTAGGGTTTTTTGGGTGAAGGTCAGTTAAGTTTCCTTTATCATCCTCCAATACTGCATGCCTATTGTGCCTCTCTGGTAAGTAAGAGACTTTTTTCCCAATTGTTGGTGATATTTTTCCACTTAAAAACTACTTGCAAAAGTCTATTCCCTCATTTATTTTTGGTTATATTTAAAAATTATTAAATTATTGCTAATGACTTTTTTGTTTTTTTGCTGTGATGATGTTCTTGGATAAGAAGCCCTCTAGGGCATCAATGCAATGGGGCAATGCAGGTGGAAGCTGAAGGAAGACTTGGAGGGTGCATGATTAGTTAAATGTAGTAGTGGATTAAACAAAATGACACAAGTCTAAGGAATGGTTGTTGAATAAGAGTTAAGCATTTGGAGACATTTTGGCCAATAGGCACCATAAACTCAGAATTATAGCATCTAGTGAACCCAAATGGTTCTAATAAGCAATTCTAAGAGGGAGTGCTAGATTTTATTTTCCAAAAATGGCTATAAAACTATTTTTAATCCCACATACTTTCCTATGTCCATCAAAAGGTGAAATGTATGTCTCCTCCCCTAGAACCTGGGTATACTTTTGTTAGTGGTTTAACTAATCAGGTATCATGGAAATCAATGACACTATGTGACAGCTTAGCTGGGTTATGAAAGGTGACACCTCTTCCACCTGTCTGCCTGTCTGCCTGTCTGTCTGTCTCTCTCTCTGATAAGCTCATCTTTGCAATCTAGTCATCATTATGAGGAATCCCAAACTATGTAGAGAGGGTAGATATAGTTGTTCTAAATGACAAACTCAGCTGAGTTCCCAGCTAACATCCAGCATGAACTGTGAGACACCTAAGTGAACAAGGCTGCAGGTAATTCCAACCTGTAGTCATAAAAGTCACCCCTCCCAGGCGTTGAGTCTTCCAGCTGAGGTCGCAGATATAGGGAGACAGAAACAAGTCATCTCTGCTGTGCCCTACTGGAATTCCAGATCCACAAAATCCCATTCCAGGAAAGCAACAAGTGCCAGAACTATGCCATTAAGTTTTGAGGTAATTTGTTGTGCAGCAATAAAAAGTCAGAGAAAAAGGAAAGAGGAGGATGAAAATTGTATTAGTCTAATATGGGGGGAAGGAAGAATTATAAATATTTTCTGAAGTCAGACCAGTATACCCTGGTATGTTTCAATGTGCTATGACGTAAAGTTATCTTGAGCAGATTTGATGTGCTATGATACTGTGGACCATGGAGGTATGTGGAATGTTAGCTCTGAGTACACATAAAAATATCTCAGTACTTTTAAGCGGTATAGATTAGTACAAATTAACCAGAGTTTTCCATAGGGAAAACAAATAAATATCCATGAGTTTATACCAATATAAATAAATGATTTAATAAATAAATAATTAGAGAAAAAGAGACAAATCTTCCATGCAGAAGAATTGAACATAATTTAGATACACTGTTCATCCTCAAATAGGTGAAGCTGAATTCCCCACTTTTCAGGATCAGTACTTCATAGCAACTTCCTGCTCAAAAGTGCTGTTTGGAAAAGGGAGAAAAGAGTAACGTTTTAGTCAAGAAGCAGCCGAATGATCATTGTCAACATATCAACAGCATGTAGCTTTGATGTAATGTGATTAAAAAAAACTTCATCTATGTGGTTTTCCTCCCTCAAAACCCCATTATTCCAGTTTGATTGAGGAAACTATCAAACTGAAATTGAAAAGCATCCTTCAGAATACTTAACCAGTACTCCTCAAAACTGTCAGTGTCATCAAAAACAATAACTGAGAAACTGTCACCGCCTAGCGGAGCCTTAGGAAACATGAGAACTAAATGTAATGTGAGGTCGGGCATGGTGGCTCACGCCTGTAATCCCAGCACTTTGGAAGGCCGAGGTGGGCAGATCACTTGAGGCTAGGAGTTCGAAACCAGCCTGGTCAACATGGTGAAAGCCCTTCGCTACTAAAAATACAAAAAAAGTAGCCGGGCATGGTGGCAGGCACCTGTAATCCTAGCTACTTGCAAGGCTGAGGCAGGAGAATCACTTGAACCAGGGAGGCAGAGGTTGCAGGGAGCTGAGATCAGCACTCCAGCCTGGGTGACGGGGAGAGACTCTGTCTCAAAAAAAAAAAAAAAGTAATGTGATATCTTGGATGGGGTCCAGGAACAACAAAAAAAGACATAAGTAAAAACAAAAGAAATATTAATAGAGCATGGACTTTAACACTCACATATTAATGTTTATTCTTAGTTATGACGAATGTACCATAGCAATGTAAGTTGTTAGCAACAAGGGAACCTGGGTGTAGTTTATATGGGAATGCATATGCTATATTTGTAACTTTTCTAGATATCTAAAACTACTTGAAAATAAAGTTTAATTTTTTAAAAAGCAAACGAGGTGTTTTCATTAGCGAAAGCATTCACACTATTATTTCTGAAGTTTTGCTGAGCTCTGGTAGCAGGAATTAACTTTTGGTTCTTTGCTATTCCACAGACTCAGCCTGGAAGAACCGGTAAGAGGCAGGTAGTACACTGTGCTTTCAAGTGACAGTTAAGTTTTGAGTGAAGGACTAGTTCTGAAGGACAATGAAGTGCTGGAAGCATGAAGTAAAAATGGTTCCTACACTCCTAGTTTTACATCATTATGTGGTACAGACAGAATTTAATAAAATAAGCACTGAAAAAATGGTTTTGTAATATTTTAATGGATATGTGGTTCTGAAAATATGTTATAGAAGAAATTTACCTAGGTGCAAAAGGTGCTCTTGAGAAAATGATGATCGGGCACAGTCTGAAGACAGGATAAGGGTTAACTTCGTGAAGTGGAGTGAGATTTGAGATGGGTGTCATTCCAAGCAAAGCTAGAGCTTGTGCAAAGTCACTGTGGCAAGGAGAAGCATAAAAGGAAATATAAATGGTTGTGGCAGAAAAACAGAAAATCAAAGGGCAATCTGGAGCAAGATGCATCTTAGCTGGTGGAAGAGTCAGACCAAGCAGAACCAGTAAGTGAAGACTCTTTAGCTTGGGAGAAAAACAACTTCCCAAACACCCAGCTGTCAAGTGGATGGTCCGGGATTTAAAGCTGGACTTAATACCAAAGTCTGAGCTTTTTCTAATGCACCATCTTGTCTTTCTATTGATATCATCTGAATAAGGTTGCCATTGTTCTATTTATAAGCCACATGAGGGAAAGTAAGCACCAATATTAAGTGAAAAAAAAAAAAGAAAAACAAATGTTTTGGAAGTAAGAGTAAATTACTGAAATTACCTTACTGAAAAAGGAAAACATCAGGACCCCTTCTTTCACTATTTGCCTGTGGCCCATCTGTTGAATGAAAGAACCTTTCTTTGGCTTTTACAGGCTGAGAAGTGACATTTGTATGAATTTAGAGCTTTTCAGGCAGAGCCTGACAGATGCAAACTGGGTTTGTGTTATCGCTGAGGAGCTCTGTGAGGAGGGGGACTGATGGGAATGAGCTGCCTAGAATAATCAGAGCAGAAGGGAGGTTAGTAAAGGGCTGAACAAGCTCGGCAAAGCTCAAGTCACTGCCTCTGAGAGTTGAAACCTCTACAGAAAGGGGTTTCTCATATTGATTTCCTCATTCCTCTGCCTAGTGGCCTGGATTGCTAATTATGGCTTGGTGTCCTAGTCTCAGGAGAGACATATGTTGAAGATTCAAATAGGAAGTTTGTCCTTACTCTATCCAACACACACACACAAACACACATACATGCATGCATATACACACAAAGTGCTGAGATATTAAAATACATTTTACTATCTTATCTCTACTTTGTTAGAGTTTTCACTTGTTTCAAAGATTTTGTAATTAAACTCTTATCAGAGTCCCTGTCTGCAGGGTAACCATTGTACTAAATTTGTGTTTATCATTCTAAAGTATTTTGAATGCTGTTAACTTTATATAATCCTGTATGTAGCATTAATCTCCTTTTCTTCCTGCACAGAATTATATTGGATATTTATCCATGTTGATATATTTTATTCATTTTTACTGATTAACAGTATTTCTATTTTATAAATATACAACAGTTCAATTACAAATTTACTGTTGGAGAACATAGAAGTTTCACATCTTTTATCTCTATTAATGCTGTTTCCTAAACTTCAGTCTTTATGATATTAATATTGTCTCCATAGCTCTATTTATTTAATGTTTGTATGGATATTGTCTTTTCCAGCTCTTTAATTTTATTGCCTTGTGTAATTTGAAATATTATGTCTCTTAGAAACATAATATAGTTGAATTCTTTAAAAATCTAATCAGAAAATTTCTGGCTCTAATTCATGATACTATAATTATATTTATAATTATTTGTATATTTTGATTTAACACATATACTAAGGATGCCTGTTGATCATTCTTTGTTCTTCACTTTTTTTCTCCTATATCATTTGTTGATTTAAAAATTTTAGGTTCTTCTTTATTTCTATTTATATGTTCTATAAGTAAAGTTTGAATTTCTATTCTTTAGTGAATATGTTGCTTTAAAAACAATACACTGAAAAAAAAAAGGCTATCAACAAACCTAGCCATTTGGTATTTCTAACCTTGACCGAAACATGGTAAACATTTTAGCACATTTTCAGCACTAGGAAATTCTGTAATAGTTTGTTATTGTTGTCTGAAACTTTAGTTTTACTTTTTTTAATCATAAAAAATATTAGCCCCTTTAACTCTGCTCAGCTTTTTCCTATCTTGTCTCACTTCCTTCTGGATTTCCTCTTATTCTTACTCAAGTGCATTCTTTATATTTCTCTTTTTGAGGATTCCTGAATGGATGTCATTTACTTAACTCTCAAAAATACATTTAACTTTCAAGATGAAAGGCAGAATAAACTAGCTAATATGTCTCTTATTTTTCCTGAGCTCACTTAGAGATGATATCATATAATGCTCTGGCATCTATTACTGTTGATGAAAGTCAGCTGTTAGTATACTTCACTGTGTCAATAATAATCCCTTATTTACTGCAAATTGTAAGGTTTCCTCTAATCCATAGTTTCACTCAAATGTGTCTAGGCTAAATTTTTGTGTGTGTTTATGCTGCATGGGATTCAGTGAAACTCTTTGAGCTAGGAAACAATGCCTTCCTCATTTGTGGAAACATAAACTTAAATTCCTTTTTAAATGTCGCTTCCACACCTTTCCCTCCATTTTCTCTTTGTGAAACACCACCTACAAGATAGAATTGCAATATTCAGTCTGTTTTCCATTGCTCCAAATGTTTCATTTAAAATATATATTTTTTGCCTTTTTTGGCTGAGTTTTTAATGAATTTCTCACTGCTCTTTTTAAAATCACTGATTTTCTCCTTTACTCTTCAGTTTGGAGTTACTAATCATACACACACATATAATCAATTATATGTAAAATCAGATATATGTGTGTGTGTGTATATATAGTATATATATATATATATTATATATACAACAATTTCTAAGATTTCTAATGGATTGTTTTCCTCCAGGCTCTCTCATTTACCCCTTCCAGTTTCATTTCTGCCTTGCATTTTATTTACAACATCTATTCCTTTGCCATTACTTTTAATGACAAGAACTTTAATTACTTTTGCAACAACCTAATATCTCAACAAAATTTTATTCTTCTTCCTTTTCTGAGTCTCTAACACATAGTAAATGTGTGATAAGATTTAAAAAGCGTTGTTCCCCAAGTTTTAATAATTGTCTCTACTCAGAGTATTTCTAATGAAGGTAGAGGTTCTTCCACCGACAGATTCATTTAATGAAGTGTTCTTGGGCCAGGTGTGGTGGCTCACATCAGTAATCCCAACACTTTGGGAGGCCGAGGCAGGTGGATCACCTGAGGTCAGCAGTTCAAGGCCAGCCTGGCTAACATGGTGAATTCCCGTCTCTACTAAAAATACAAAAATTAGCCAGGCATGGTTGTGGGCACCTGTAATTCCCAGCTACTTGGGAGGCTGAGGCGGGAGAATAACGAACCCAGGAGGCAGAGGTTGCAGTGAGCCAAGATTGCACCACTGCACTCCAGCTTGGGTGACAGAGCAAGATTCTGTCTTTAAAAAAAAAAAAAAGTGTTCTTATCTCCATCTGCTTATTTTTATAGTCAACCTTACCTGTTAGATAGAGGTTCTATCTATCAATACTAGTCAAGACATAGATGACAGGATTGTATCTATAATCTACTTATCCTTTCCATTTAAATCCTCCACTTCATAGCTGTATAACTCTGAGTAATCTACCTAATGCCTCTGAGCCTGAATTTCCTTATTAATAAGATGGAAATAGAAATACTTTCCTCACTAGATTCTTAGAAGAAGTAAAGATAATTTTTAAAATGTACATAACATAAACACACATAATGCTGGTGCCTTTACTTTCAAATTCTTATCATACTCATTTTACTTAGGAACTATATTTAGGACCAACGAGAAAAATATATGAAAGGTGGTCACTGACTTAAATAATCAATATTTCAACATATTTAACAGAATACTTGACATTGCTGCCAAATTCTGTTATTTATATGATTCTCAAGTTATCACAGAAGAAGCATGAAGACAGAAATCTTTGTAAGTACTTCATGTAAGCATCTGTGTGAGTGGGAAGATAAGAAAAGGGGAAGGATGTAGTCAGGCTTTCAATGAAGCCATTTCTTACAGCAACACTCAGTGAATGGAGAAAAAAGTCTAACTTGGATATACTGTTTAAATACCCTGGTGAAATTTGCAAACACATGAGCTAAGGCCTGACATTCATTTGATAATTTACTTAGCAAATATTTCCTGAGCACTTCTTGTGTGCCAGGCATTTCTCTCGATGCTGAAAATACAGAAGTAAACAAAACCATTTGTTATCATAAATAGAAAAGACACTTTTTCACCTCCTAATTGTCATCAAGTACACTCCTGCAGAAGGAAATCCCCAGGGCTTTTGTTGAAACAAGCACAATGTTAAATAGTAGTTTGTTCTTGCTAAATCAGATAATACACCACGTTTAGACGACATCAGTAAGAGCATATGGTCTGTCTAAAGGCAAACTTCATCTCCTTGCAATCTTTCCTGGCCATATCACATGCAAAATAGCACGTTATGTTTTTGGCACTATATTTAGTTATATTTTAAAACAAACTAGGGCATTCTCAGGATAGTAAGTGTTCTGATAGCCATGGGATGTAAGAATATTTCATGGAACAAGCTAAATTTATTCCGGATGGAAGTGGACTTAGCTGTTATATGAAAGTGGTTTGCAAAATCTTGAAGATGTGGTAAAAGAGGGATTAGAATTAATCTACATGCTTCTGGAAAGCATGATTAAAATTAATATCTGCCAGTATCAATACCTGCAATATAAAATGCACAATATTGCTTTAGGACAGTGGCTTTCAAAGTGTCTTCCCTGGACCAGAAGCAACAGCATCAAATGGGGATTTGTTAAAAATGTAAGTTATTAATTTACTGAATCAGAGTCTCAGTAAGGCCCAGTAATCTGTGGTCTAACATGTCCTGAGGTTTTTCTCATGTGCGTTAACCTTTGAGATCCATGGCCTTAGCATAGAACACCTTCTCCCTCTCTCAAGAATGATCTTCTACCACAACACATGGGATTGTGATTCTGCCTCACTGAAACTCTCCACAAGTTTTCAAAATCCAAGGCCTTTATATACAGTGTTAACTCTATTTTGAGTCTCAATTTTCAATGTTTATTCATTGGCAAACTCCTATTCTATCTTTGACACTCAAACCTTTTTTTTTTAAGACAGTCTTGCTCTGTCACTCAGGCTGGAGTGCAGTGGTGCCATCTTCACTCACTACAGCCTCTGCTACCCAGCTTCAAGCAATTCTTATGCCTCAGCCACCCGAGTAGCTGGGAATGCAGGTGTGAGCTGCCATGCCTGGCTAGTTTTTTTGTTTGTTTGTTTGTTTGTTTTTTCAGTAGAGATGGAGTTTTGCCATGTTGGCCAGGCTCTTCTCAAACTCCTGGCCTCAAGTGATCCACCCACCTCAGCTTCCCAAAGTCTGGGAATACAGGCATGAGTCAACTGCACCTGGCCAATCTCTTTGTTCTTTCAGTATCTCCGAGTCAGAGTTAGTTATCCTTCCTGAACTCTTACAGTGTTTTTACATATCAAGATTAGATATTTACCTGTTTGGCTGTTTACTCCTCATTTCATGTGCTTTAATAGGGCCTCTAGAGACACTCATTGAATGAATGTTTCAGGGAACGCTTATCTGTCTGAATGATTTTCAGAAATTCTTGTGGTTACTAAATATACTGGAGGTTCATGGAGACAGGGAGAGTATGGTTTGTGTGGCTAAATGACCAGCAATCCTTCTGAAGTTTCTGGAGTCATCTTTCATGGGAATACAGGCTAAGATAAAAGCAAAAGGAAGATTTAAATAAAAGTCTCCTGGAAAATGTGCAGCTGGCATACCTACCTGGTTTGTCTCTGAATCATATCACAAAGTCTCCAGTAGAGAAGCTGGGCAATAATCCAGAATATTAAGAAAATAGTTGAAAATACATAAGTTATTATCAATCCTTGAGTCCTTAAGGGCAGAAAGAAGAAAAGTAATCAACACTTTCTGTGAGCAATACATTTTTCAGAAAATTTGCACAGAACATAATTCAGCATGAATCAAATGTATTCCAATAGGTAATAATAGTCACTTACATTTATTAATCAGTGTCTTACTTTGGGTTCCCTCAGAATCAGATCCTAAGACAAATAGCTCAGATCAAGCAGTTTATTTGGAAAATGACTTCAGGACGTACTAGTGAAGGCATGTAAAAGTGACATAGAGGAGGGCAGGAAACCAACATAGGTTGTATTAATGGGAAGATAACCACCGTCGCGACTGGAGTTCAGCCCCATTGGGGACCTCTAAGAGACATCATAGCAGCTGACTTGAGGGGAAAATGAAAGGGGTTAACTAGTAATTCCCATCAAGTCATCAGTTGACTGTTCTCCAAAGCTAGTCATTCTCTGGGAACAGAGCAAAGAGTCTTGCATATAATTGTGTTCAGGAACAAGAGCTAAGTGTAAATGGATGAAACTTAGCATCCAACTATTATAAGCATGTATACATATTTTACAAACATTATTTAATGGATCCTTCTCAATAGTCCTATGAGTTAAAAACTATTATTATAATACTATTATTGTTCTACTCAACAGATGAGGAAATTGATGAAAAGAGAGATATATAATAATTTCCCAAGGCCATGGACAAGAAATAGTGGAACTGATATGGCATTCTGACCTCAGAGTTCATGCTTTCAAAAAACACCTGACAATTGTTATCTGGCTGGTAATCTAAGATCGATGAAGTTTCTCAAATATTTGATCTTTCCATCCCTGTGTAGATGTATCTGTTTCCAGTAACTTGCCATTTTTCTCCCACAGTTCATGTCTAATTACAGCTCTCAATCTTTCATGCTTACTGAATACTCTCTTGGGAATCAGTCGCAGTACCTTCAAATATTTACTTTTGTCAATCCTTTTCTATTTCTTAGTATTTTATTTTCTTTTTAAAAATAATTACATTATCTCAACTGGCTTACATGGATCCCTGAATTATGATTTTATACTTCATCTTCTTTTTTCCTACACACCACTCATGGTGGCCTTATTTTCTCTTAGTTGGAACCAACAGTCATTCTCTTTGTTATATTCCAGTTAACTTACACTTTGGGTGGAAAGCATCAAAGCAGAATATCTAAGACAATCAGGGGGAAAGATGGAGAAATTAAGCATAAAAGTTTAGGAAGAAAACTTCTTTCTTCCTGAATTTTGCTGCCATTTAAAGCCAATGATGACTACTCTTCAAAGTGTGTTGTATCCAAGAATTTTTTGTCCTCTCCTTGACCATGAAATATTCGGCTAGAGAAATACATGCTATTAATGGCTCAATTGTTTACTAAACTAACAAGTCAATGTTATTGAATAATCAGTTGTTTCAGTTAATGACCAATCAAATCAATAAAATTGTTAGATAGGTTTGTAAACTCCATCACGGTGCAGCGGTCAGTCTTGTTCTTCCGAAAGGCTTTACTGATACTCTGAAGGTTCAAGCCCCAGGGAAAAAATGGTACTGTGTGTCCTATCCATGACCTTGGTTTGCAATTTTTCTGGTATAATCTTAGCAGGACTTTAGCTCCTTATTATCCATTGGAACAATGTCTCATATTTACAATCTAGGGAACAGTAAATCCTCAATATAAAATATCGTATTTCTCAATAAAACCTGCTGTCAGTACACTTGCTTCAAATTTTTATTCCAAATCCTCCTTTGTTTCTTATCTCATTACCTAGATAAATCTAAGCTCTGATTAGCCTGCATGGTTTTTTAAATCATAATACATATATTGATCAGTTTTGTTCTGCTTTAATCTATATTTACCACACATACTTTTACTATGACGCCGAACAACTTTCCAAACAAACATCTTCATTCAAATTTTGTATTAATAAAAAATTCAGTAACAATATCAGCTAACAATTTATTATTCAAATAGATGCCATTTACATTCTACTTTGCTAAAAGACTAGGGTGAGAACATTCATACGCCTATCGTAAATATACTACTAGCAAGCCATAAAAATGCCTCATTAATTAACTCATTTTAAAACTTATACATTTATTCAACAAATATCTACTGATTATCTATCACCTTTCAATTTTTTGCTTGCCACTGGTGACAAATCATGAGCAGAAAGAAACATTGTCCTGACTTCACGGAACTTACAGTCAATGTACTAGTAGTCATTACACATTAGTTAGGTAATTAGAGAAACAAACTTAAAGTTTCCAAAATTATTAGAATTAAAACTTACATTACAGAAACCAATTAGTGTAATCTATCACATCAATAGGCTAAATAAGAAAAATTGAATGTTTATATCAATAGATGCAAAAAATCATTTGACAAAACAATACATATTCAAGACAAAATCTAAGTAAACTATGGCTAGAGAGAAACTTTCTCAATTTAGTAAAGATTATCAACAAAAAACATATAGTTAACATCATACTCAATGATGAGAAACTAAAAACTTTTACACTAAATTTAAGAACAAGGGAAGTATAACCCCTCTTGCCCTTGCTTTTCAACATTGTATTAAAAGTTGTGACTAATGCAGTAAGACAAGATAAGAAAAGGTATATAAACTGGAAAAGAAGAAGTGAAACTTTCTTTGTTTAAAGGCAAAATGATCCTTTATGTAGAAAATACAAAAGAACCAACCAATATAACTCCCAGAACTAATAAGTGTTTACAGAAAGATTGAAAGACACAAGGTTAATATACAAAAGTCAATTGCATTTCTATGTACTGGCAATGAACAAATGAAATTAAAAACTAATAACATAATATTATTTACATTAGCACTCTCCAACATGAAATATTTAGGTTTAAATCTAAGAAAATATGTACAGGCTCTATATAAGAAAAACTATAAAACTTTGATGAAAGAAATAAAAAAAGAACCAAATAGAGTTATTCCATGTGTCTGGATAGGAAGACTCAATCTTGTCAAGAGATCAGTTCTTCCCTACTTGATATATACTTTTAATGCAATCTCAATCAAAGTACCACCAAGTTATTTTGTAGATATTGACAAAGTAGTTCTAAAGTTTATATGGAGAAGCAAAAGGCCAAAAATAGTCAACACAATACTGAAGAAGAGCAAAACTGAGGCATTGACACTACCCAGTTTCAGGGTAGCAATCAGTATAAAGCTACAGTAACCAAGACTGTGTAGCACTGGCAAAAAAAAAAAAAAAAAGAAAGAAAAAAAAAAGAAAGAAAGACAAATAAATCAACAGAAATAAATAGAGAGCCCAGAAATAGAGCCACATAAATATAGTAAACTGATCTTTGACAAATGAATGAAGGTAATAAAATGGAGCAAAGACCGTTCTTTCAACAACTGGTGCAAGAACTACTGGACATGCACATGCAAAAAATATAAATAAAATATTTTAGTCACAGACCTAACACTCCTCTTCACAAAAGTTCCTCAAAATAAATCATAGAGCAAAATGTAAAGCACAAAACTTACAACTTTCAGAAGATAACAGCAAAATAAGAAAATCTAGATGGTCTTAGGTTTGGCGATAACTTTATATTTCAAGAGCATGATCTATGAAAAAAAGAATTGATAAGCTAGACTTCATTCAAATAAAAAATCCTGCTCCTGCTCTTTGAAAGATATTGTTAAGAGAATAAAATGACAAATGACAGACTGGTTGAAAATATTTGCAAAAAATATGATAAGGGATTATTATCCGAAATACATAAAGAACTCTTAAAACTCAACAATGAAAAACAAACAAACAAAAAATTCTTAAAAGAGCTACAAATCTTACTCAAATTCTTACCAAAGAAGATATACACATACAAATAGTATATTAAAATTTGTTTTACATCATATATCATGAAGGAAATGCAAATTAAAACAACAATGGTATACCTGTACACACCTATTACAATGGCTCTAATTCAGAACACTGACAACAAATGCTGGTGAGGATTTGGAGCCTCAAGAACACTCATAGCACGGCCACTATGGAAGACAGTTTGATAGTTTCCTACTAAACTAAACAAACTCCATATGGCCCAGCAATTATAATGTTTGGTATTTACCCAAAAGAAGTGAAAATACATGACCAGAAAAAGGGATATTCAACCTATAATTACGTTTAAAATTTGGAAATATTACAAAAACAGAGAGAAAGTACTTTTAAAAAAACTAATTTCTATATTTGAAATATTATTTTAACATATAATCTTCTCATCTTTTTGCTGAGCTTTTTATGTTGCCTTTTTTCAACATTGGGGTCATACTGTTCACACTATGTGATAAACTTTTTTTACCTAAAGAATGTTATGAGTATTCATTCCTTCTCACAGCAAATATTATTTCATTTTTATTTTGTGAACTCAGTCACCATTATCTTAACTAAAATGTGTAATGGCTTTTTGAGTTTTATTCTTGAACTTCTTTTAGTGCACGGCAGAAATTGTGTAATACCCTAAAGTTCTTTCAGAGGGAGAGCAACTACACCTGGGGGATAAAAGGGGAATTAGAGAGACACCTGGAGATGTTAGAAATGTGCATTTTCTTAATAATTAGCACATCACATATCTAGTTAGCATCTCATAAATAATCATAGAGTATGTATTTAATGAATCATTTTACTTTACACTGTCAGAGGTTAACAGGAAAGCAAAAATTGTTTCCTTATTTTAAAAACGAGATGCGGTTGTTCTTTGGGTATACTATGACTAAAAAATAATGAAATGCAGTAAATGAACATCCATCATACTAGTTTTAAAAACACTGATAGCAATAGATATATAGGTATGCATATCTGTCATATCTGTCAAAACACCTTGTATTTATATATGTTAGAAAATAGCTATCTATATACATTTATGTTATGGCAAGCCTATGAATATGCATGTTCAGTGTAATTGTACATTTCCTTTTCAATCTAGACTTTCTGCCAAAATCTTGCCCCAAGTTGCATTTTGATGGTGTACACTTTTTCCTCTTCTAATATATAAGTGGCTTGTGAAACAGGGATCATCAGCATTTGTCTCTTCAAAATGTCTTTTTAAATTCCTCATCTCTTTTGCCCATGTTTTAAAATATTTCTTTTATTAATAAGATTAATTTTGTAAACACTTTTCTATTAGCTAGTGCTGTATAAAATTCACCTCAAAACTAAATGGGTTAAAACAACAACAGTTTATGATCTTCATCATTCTAAAGTTGCTTGAGCAGTTCTCTTGCTGGTCTCAACTGCGCTCATTCATGCATACTCAGTCAGCTGGTGACTCAGTGGGAGTGGGATGGTCTGAGAGGCCTCTCTCACAAGTCTGAGATCTCAGCTGGGACAGACAAAATGGCTGGAATTATGGGCCTCCCTCTCTACATGAGCTTTCATCTCAGTCTTATTCACAGCATGATGGTCACGATTTTAAGAGATGAAAACCGCAGCTGTAAGAATCTTCAAGTCTAGCTTCGAAAGTCGAACGATATCATTTCTACCACATTCTGTTGGTCAAAGCAACTTCTATGAGCAGCTCATATTCAAGGCATAAGAAAATAGATGTGCCACATTTTCTTAATCCAGTCTATCATTGTTGGACTTGGCACATGTATACATATGTAACAAACCTGCATGTTGTGCACATGTACCCTAAAACTTAAAAAGTATAATAATAATAATAAAATAGATGAGCTCCTCTTGATAGATGAGCCATAAAATATCATGAGTGTATTATTCTATCTATCACAATATATGTTGGAATAATAAACCCATAATCCAAGTGATATTTTTGCTAAAGAGAGTTTCTAATTATTGTCCCCCCAAACACCTTGTTTTGACTCTGAGATCTGTAGTCACTGATATGCTTCAATAGATGAAACGAAATAGACTATTCACCTGCATCCAGGATACAAGAATCTCAATTTTCATCTCAAATTCAGTGTTACAAAGTTCTAGCTCTCTCCAAAATAACTTCATCCTTCTGCTAAAACAGAAAATGTGGCACTTCTCTATAAAACTCTCATACATACCCTAAAACACCCTGGAATATAGTCTCAAAGATGGGACTATCCTCTAGTAGCTATGATAATTTTTTTTTTTAATTTGGGCTGTGGAATACAGAAAATAGTTTGTTGAGTCCTCAATTTCATTGCTAATATCCATGGCTTTGTGATTCCAGTTTGGGAGATACTGTCCTCAGGATTCCAACATCTGGATAAATGGAGCAGAGTTCTTTTTTGCAAAACTGTGGCATGTGGCTTTAAAGAAAAAACAATACACATTTCAGTAAGGATGTAAGGAAGGAAAGCATCAGGAGCAGAGAGCTGGACAAATGAGAGTACTGAGATATCAAAAGTAGTACTGGCAACCAGCATCAGGAACAGATGGCTCCAGTTGCTGAGGGAACTATTTTGTTCCACATTTTTCCAAATACTGAGGAAAAGTATTTCTATAGGAGGGTTCCTTTAATAATTGCTCTGAGAGAGAAAATAAGTTTGTAAACATGCTAACCACATTTAATTAGGTTTTTTTGGAGGATTATAGGACTTTGGAAGCTAAAGCAACTCCATCTTGGATGCTAATCCGCCATATTGACTCCTGATTAATTGAGTTCCAGGAATGCCTCCGAAATTTCCAGTTTATTCTTTTTGTAAGGACACTTTACTTGCCCTAAATCCTGCCCTTAGGGCAAATTCTTACCCATTCCCTCTGAAGCACGTGTGCCCCTCCTCTAAGGTATATAATCCCTGGGTCTGGGAGGTTAATGACATGGGGATCCACCATCTTGTCTCACCGTTGACCAAGTCACAACATGGCTTCTGTTTTTAACTCTCTCTTACATGTTTCTTGCTAAGAAACTGTGTTTATCAGCCTCTTTGGCCTCTCAGCTATCTTAGACTTTGGGTAGATTTGCATAGACATGCCCACATTGATACAAGAACGTCTCAGAAATCTGAAATCATATTGAATAGTATTTACAAAGGATGAGTTTTCTGTGATGTTCAGTGCCACCCACATAGAATGATGGGGCTTTCCTTTGTCCCAGCCACTGCCTTGTGGATGCCGTAACCATAGAAATGGCTTTACAAGTACCCCAGGACATGAGCAGGTGTGTATTCATACAAGATAGTTGGAACAGGATTATTTCTGATGGGCATGGAAATCTTGAAGAATGCATGATGTCACTTCATCTGGACCATCCACTAGTGATACGCAGGCAACTGAGGATGAGGCTGCGCTGAAATAAAGAATCCTAGCCTCAGGAGGCGTGCTGGCTTTGATCCCGACTTGCGGGGCCATGATGCCTTCCTGGAATGGAGACTGAGGGCATAACTTCTGCTTCCTTAGGACTCAGCACCGGCAATTGTGCTCAGCACTTTATGCTGCTGTCTCCATAGTCTTTGTATTTCCCCATCCTTTTCTAGAAAATTTCCGATGCAAACTAAATTTACCCTCATCAAGTCTCTCCCAAGGCCTGAAAGAAGGACAGTCTAGTTCTTTTTTGCCCCTCTAAACTGATTTTATAAATGTAATAAGTTCTACATTATAATTACACTTAAGGTGTTCCATTTTGTTTATCAAAAGCCTAATTTGGAAGTCACAAAATGTTAATGTTTTCTTATTCTTTCTCTTTCATTTGTAATTCTGATTAGGTCAAGAGCTGCTCATAAGCAAATAAAGAGAAATTATAATTCATCATGCTATTTTCTTGATGTGCATCTCTAATAAAGCATTATCTTATGTAAAATAAAATATATTTTTAAAAATTTGTTGGAAATTTAAAATTTTCCATTGGAGTATATTTTTTAAATAGTACATTGTATGTAAGAGTGTTCCATTAAGATATCTGAAAAACTCTGGTATTATACCAATGTTAGTATTATTGAGTAAAAGATTACAGAATGTTAGATTCAGGGATTCTAAAGATATTCCAGCCCATTTCTCTGTGCTTTAGCATCCTCATCTGTAACTTGAGGAGTTTTCAGTGTCTCGCATAATGTCAAATAATATGACACTGCAACAGTCAATATTTCTATGCATTTGACAATTTAAAAAGAATACATCTACTTTGCTGTTTGATTCTCAAAAACCATGGGTTAATATGCAGTCTCAAATGTGAAAACACAACTTTCTGTCCTATAAAATTTACCCTTAGTTATGAAATTATTACAGGTCTAAACTGGAAATCAAATTCAAGCACCAAGGTGCCTTGACTAGGGTCATTTTCACACTACCTAAATCTTTAAAATATATTTATTGTTGATTAATATTTCTACATTCTTTCTTCCTGATCTTCATTGCCTTTCAAATTCTTTCCTTCTTTCCCTTATTCAGTGGTTTTCATAATTTATTGTATCATTGATTTACTGACACTCTAAGTCAGCGAATTTTAGGTAGCTGTTATCATATAGGAACTGTGCAAGATACATGAGACGAAATAGTGAGCAGAAACAGGAATGGTTCCTATCCTATTGGAGCTTATTATTTAATATAGGAGAGACTGAAATCAAATATTGAATCATACAAGTACAATTACAACAAATTTCTATAAAAATAAGTAAATGCTTCATTGTAACCCATGTATTGGAGGACAGTGAAGACCATCTTAATACCTAATAACTGAAATGAAATATAGAGATAAAATACCTAAAACACGTGACAAATACTCTTATAAATATTTTAAATACTTTTATCACTTAAACTTTACAAAAACTGCCCAGAAATAGAGTATAGAGAAAATGTCTCTATTTCACACACACACATTCCCCACCACAAAAAAAAAAGAAAAAAGAAAAAGAAAAAGACCAAGGGTACAAGACAATTTAAAAGAAAATCTGCTGAATATTCACTGTGTCTTTCTTCAAAAACTACATATTTCATTGACACCACAACTTCTTTGGGAGTGGAAAGTTGAAGCAGATAGGCCCAGATAGCCAGGTTGCACAGTTATGGCTGTGCTGACATTTTGAGTTGGAAGATTGTTGTGGGAAGCTGTGCTGTGCATTATAGGATGTTTAGCAGCATCCTTGGCTTTTCCCCACTAGATGCCAGTAGCACTCCCTTCCCCATTTGTGATAATCAAAGTTGTCTCCAGACATTGCCAGTTGTCTTATTGGGGGGTGAGGAATGGGTGGGTGTAAAATCCTCCCCAGTTAAAGACCATTGCTATAGAAGAACCTTAAGTGTTTTTTTGTTTCTGCTTTGTTTGAACATGGCTTAATAAATAGATGAATAAAGAAGCAATTCAATATATGTGCTGGTGCTCCTTATGAAAACAAAGAAAATCATTGCAGCACTCTTCACAATAGCAAAGACATGCAATCAACCCAAATGCCCATCAGTGATATACTGGATAAAGAAAATGTGGTAATATACACCATAGAATACTACGCAACCATAAAAAGGAGCAAGATTATGTCCTTTGCAGTGACATAGATGGAGCTGCAAGCCATTTTTTTTTCAGCAAACTAATACAGGAACAAAAAAAACAAATACCACCTGTTCTCACTTATAAGTGGGAGCTGAACAATGAGAACACATGGACACAGGGAGGAAAACAACATACACTGGACCTGTCATGGGGGTTGGGGGAAGGAGAGCATTAGGAAAATAGCTAATGCAGGTGGGGCTTAATACCTAGGTGATGGGTTGATAGGTGCAGCAAACCACCATGGCACACATTGACTCATGTAACAAACCTGTATGTCCTGCATATGTATCCCAGAACTTAAAATTAAGTTTAAAAAAAAATAGAAAAGAATGAACATGACCACTTCTTCCATGTTTTTTTTTTTGTCTTGCAAATTCTTTTGAATCCAAAGCTTAGTTTGAATGAGGCATACAAAAATCCTAGACCAGGTTTTATGTTGGGTGTTGGGTGAACAGCCATGCCATTATTTCCATAATTAATCAATGTCTGCTATTTTAACTCAAACTTAGCAGAAAGTTGGGTATTTAGGTTCAGTAATGTCTTGTCAGTGATCTTTCTTGCCACGGAGCAGGAGGCAACTGGCCATGGCTAAGCTGACAGACAACAGAGCAAGGTAAAAGCATAGAAATCCAGCAGCAAATTTGTTGAGACAAGAAAATAAGAAGAATTAAATTAAATTGTTCAAAATTGTAGAATACATTAAACTATACTGATATTTTGAACAGATATTTATATTTCATGTAGGTAATACCATTGATAATAAAGAACAATTTATAATCAAGTTGCAAGTTTATTTCAAAGATGTGTATGTTTTCATGTTTTTTTTTTGTTTTTTTTTTTTTTTTTAGACGAAGTCTCGCTTTGTCACCAGGCTGGAGTGCAGTGGCGTGATCTCAGCTTACTGCAACCTCTACCTTCTGGGTTCAAGGAATCTCCTTCCTTGGCCTCCCGAGTAGCTGGGATTACAGGCAGCCACCACCATGCCTGGTTAATTTTTGTAATTTTACTAGAGATGGATATCACCATGTTGGTCAGGTTGGTCTTGAACTTCTGACCTCAGGTAATTTGTCCACCTCAGCCTCCCAAAGTGTTGAGATTACAGGCATGAGCCACCAAGCCTGGATGGTGTCTTTCCTTTTATAATAGCCAAGTTGCCTAACAACCCCCACCTCCCTGGTTCAAGCAATTCCCCTGCCTCAGCCTCCCGAGTAGCTGGGATTACAAGCACGTGCCATCACGTCTGGCTAATTTTTTCGTATTTTTAGTAGAGGTGGGGTTTCACCATGTTGGCCAGACTGGTCTCAAACTCCTGACCTCAGACAGTCTGCCTGCCTTGGCCTCCCAAAGTGCTGGGATTACAGGTGTGAGCCGCCGTGCCTGGCTGTTTTCATGTGTTTTTAGAAGTGCTGGAGAATATGGTGTATAGCCTTCAGTCCTGCGACCCACTTATCAGAAGAGAACCAGAAAGCTAGTACCTCCCAAACACACAAGGTTGTCATTTAGTGGTGGCAAGCAAGCTAAATGCTTGTTACCCTAAAGTAATGCCTATAGTGTCAGTTTCTCAGTCTCTTCTTTCTCCTCTTCATGAATTTGAAACCTCTGTTATATAATGTCTTAATACTTCTTTTGAAGAAATCAAAAGATGTCTGTCTATTTCCTCCTACAAAACAATACTCACTTTAATATTAAAAACAAGTAGTTGAAGAATACTAATTTCAAGATTGTTTATATCTAAGGAAAATCTTGAATATTTATCACTCTTATTTAGATAATGGGAAGTAATAACATACCGCTTGAAAACAGAGGATTCAACATAATCACATTTACATTAGATAGAGATCACAGAAGATAAATCTCAGCATTTGTCAGTGTTGCACACCACACAGGCATATTTCATTAGATCTTGTCAAAGGCACAGAAAACTGCCAATCATATTAACAACTAACTTCTTTTAAAAGCCATTCAACCGAGTTTAATTATGACTAAGTATGTTTGAACCGAAGGAACATTAAATACGCAAATGCCTCTTGGCAGTCTTTTCAGAGTCTGTGGTGAGCAACAGTGCCTGCTCAACAGGAAGAAACCGTTTAATGTATCCCAAAAAATAAAATAAATCAATATGCAAATTTGATTGCATTCACTAAAGAGAATTTTTAATTTTCTTGGCAGAAAAAAAAATAACAAAAGGAAATGCCCATTTCTTATTGGCCAAGCAAGTAGGTTAATTACGCTACCATTTGCCTCAAGCCAAGAACTTCAAAGATAGCCTAGATTCTTCTATTTAGTTCTTGTTCACCACTGCAAAAAGTTAAACTAGACTAAATATCACAAATCCAGTACATATTGCTTACTATCTACTTTTTTCTTCCTACCCTGGCACTACTAGTTTTATGGTTTAGGTTTTCAATAACTTTCCTTGGGGCTTCTCTCATACAATGGCTGGATTTTTATTCCTTCAAGTTCTTTTTCTTAATCCATTTCCCCAATGTGAAAAGTGAGTCTGAACGTGGTTTTGCTCTAAAGGGTGTGTGTAAAACTGTGCTCTGTAGAAGCCCAAGAGGTTGAACAGAAGATGCTTCTGGGGCAGTCAGGGGGAGTTTTCATGTAGTGGTGATGTTGGAAGTGGGAAGGAGACGACAGACTTTCAGAAGAGAGATGTAACTGTCTCCATTCAACATCAACAACAGCACCACTATTTCATTTCCCCACAAAAAATTTTTTTAAGCAAATGTTTCTATAGCAAGTAACTATCATCATCATCATCAATAATCTAAAAATAAAGCGAAAGGGTTTTTTTAATTCTGTTCTTATTTCTAACTGATTTTCAACCTCTCTCTCTTTATTAAGCAGGAGGAGAGGGGATCACAGTTCTTTCTTCAACACATACTCCCCAGTGCTCCACACACATCTGGTACTTTTTTTTTTTTTTCAGACAGAGTCTTGCTCTGTTGCCAGGCTGGAGTACAGTGGCACAATCTCGGTTTACTGCAACCTCTGCCTCCTGGGTTCAAGCAATTCTCCTGCCTCAGCCTCCCAAGGATCTGGGACTACAGGCATGCACCACTACGCCCAGCTAATTTTTTTATTTTTAGTAGAGACGGGGTTTCACCATGTTGGCCAAGATGGTCTCAATCTCTTGACTTCGTGATCCACCCACCTCAGCCTCCCAAAGTGCTGGAATTACAGGCCTGAGCCTCCGTGCCGGGCCTGGTTCTTCATTTTTAAACAACTTAGAATTCCCAGGACTCAGGTTAATGTTTTTCCTATCTGTACCTTTGAAGCCAGTATTCCCATTACCTATAGATAGTAAATGTACCCATCTTCTATTGCTATGTATACCCAGATGACTTCTGAACCTAGGTAATAATGAATTTGTCACTTATTTTTTTCAGGTGGCTTTCCTTCTCCTTGCAGACAAGGTAAATCACTATCTCTGTCTTCTATTTCCTTGTGTTTTCAAAAAAGGTATCAGTGTCCTTTGCACATGCTTTACCATGATTTTCTTTATCTTTTTCTTTATGATAAGCATTTTATAAAAATATTATATATTAGGCCTTTACTAAATTCAGTGCTTGGCTAGTTTGGATCAGCTTGTGTTCTAGAATAAGTATTGCTTCAGACTCATCTTTATTCTTGACCACTGGACCACCCTTAAGAGCAGAAGGAAAGACAATTCCAGAAATCTTTCAATCAATGTTCTACTACCTACCCACAAGTGATGACATTCAACAGATACTTACTTTTGTGCCAGAAAGCTTGGGAGATGCCTGTTGGATATCAACTGCTTATAAACAAGCAGTTTTATCAAAAAGTATGTTGGATTTATCTCAGAAACTGCTTAACATATTTACATTCTTAGGCAGTTGAAATAATATAATTATAGAAACAATTAATATACTATAATGGATGTTGGGGAAAAACCATTTTCTAGCCTCTCAGTCATACTGGATGTGTTGCACTGTGATCATGTTATCATTAACTTCATGTAGAGGGTAGGGTTCTCTTACATTCTTCTGAGGTATTCATCTCATCTTCCCTCTCCTTACTTCAATTTTGGGATCATACACATCTTGGATTATAGAAGTGCTTATACCAGATTTATGCTATAAAAGGGGCCAATTTTAGCAAAAGAGAACTGTTTTTCTTACAAAAAAATCACGTTGGAAGAAACTGGAGGAGCCAGAAACCCTTCTTTTGATCTCCATCAAAGAGAAAACCAGATGAAACTGACTGACTGAAAATAAAAACCCATGGCTGAGGGTGCAAGATGATGCAAAAGGTGATGCCAAAAGGCACGTGGTGGATGGAATAAGAGGGGACTGACAAGAAACAAGAGAGGAGCCCTGGCATAAGAGAGGCTACAATGTTCATATGAATTAGTGTGTAGTTGATTCCATTAGGAATGCAATGACAGAAATAAAGAACCTTCTTACGTTACATTTTGAATTGTGTGTCTTTGCTTTATTGTCAATAATTACATTTTCCTCCTGGCAACAGAATATGCCTTCTATCTATTGCATAACTAAGCAGTTTTAGAGAACACATCAATGGAAAATATAGTCATAAAAGGCCAAAAATAAACTCCATGAATTCTACTTTTCAAGGAACATATTCAAACTCCTTCCTAAGTGCTTATGTAATTCAAAACACAAGTTTTCAGAATTTATATATATTACCATGTTATATATTCTTATATATAAAAATAATTACACATAATGTTTAGTTAAAAGTAAAAACTATTTAGTGTTACAGGTTGGACAATTATCCAATGATTTTACTCAGTAGAGATAGGCAATATTACTAATACAGATTTTTTTTTAATTATCTTCTTTTTAAGAAAAATAATAAAACTCTCCACTTTCTGCAAAGGGTAGTCTCCAGAGATTTTATACCTAATCTGTAGTGAATGTAATCCTTTTTTTCCTTGCCTTTAAAATGCAAGAAGGAATTACAGGAATCATTGGTTCACCGATTAGTACAAGCAGCGGACCCACATTATACCTAAAATCAGTTCTCTGAAGGGCTTTTGTTGGCGGTCATTACTTGAGCACAAATGAATTTCTTAGCTATTTGGTGGTTGCTAGCTATCTTAAACTCAGACAAATACGGAGTCATGGACAAATGCACCCCCACAGTGGAAATAAGAAAAGGCATGTGGTCTAGGGACGATTCATCTTAATCCTACATCAAGACTATCCATAAGCAGAGAAACCCTTCTTATAGGCCACATTGCCAGGCCATGTATCTGTATGCTAAAATGCACAGATTCAGAGATGTCATCTTAAGGCTGGCTAGGCATAATATTTATTTAGAAATGGAGTCTGGAAAGGGATTTGCATTACCCTCTAGGAATAAGCTAAGCTTTTACATGGCATGAACATAGACCTCACCTGAAGGAGGCAACCTGTCAGTTGAACACACCTGTATTTTCTTAAAAGGTCCTTTACTACTAAGAGGTTCCAGAAGTTCCATGGGCTTCCCACTGGTCCTAACAGTCTATATAGCCAGTAAGTAAATTGATAACAAACTAATGCAGGAACAGAAAACCAAATACCATATGTTCTCACTTATAAGTGGAAGCTAAATGATGAGAACACAGGGACACATAGAGGGGAACATCACACACTGGGGCCTTTTGGAGGCTGGAGGGTAGGAGAAGGGAGAGGATCAGGAAAAACAACAAATAGGTTCTAGGCTTAATACCTGGGTGATGAAATAATCTGTAAAGCAACCTTTCATGACACAAGTTTACCTATGTAACAAACCTTTACAAATACCTCTGAACTTAAAATAAATGTTAAAAAAAAAAGAAAATGTCTCATATCTAGAAATATTTGCAAGTTTCCACTTTGTAGGTTATAGAAAGTATCTTTAAAGCACTGGTGTTTAAGAATCAATGTGCTTTGTAGGCAGGTAGGAAGAAGAGAGGTTAAAAAGAACTTCAGGAAAGATATGTTGATTAAATATTGATTGAACAATAATTTCAGCAAACACACACTTCAATCAATCAAAGACAAAATGGTGTTTAGCATTTTTCTAGCTATAGCAAATAGCTTTAAATATAATAACATAAAGTACATGGTATTTGATATATGTTAGTTGTTTTTTTAAAACTGTAGTAATTTTAGTCTTAACTGGTGGGCCATTTAAGATGGATTGATAGTCCTGTCTTTAGTGCTAAATTGTGAAGGATTCAGAAACTGTGTGTCCTGACTCAGTACAAATCTGCTGGATAGAGTAGTGATGGCTGCGACTGGGAAAATTGTTGGCTGATGTTAAACTGTGACCTGATGAGTGGACCAACAGGCACTTTATTTATAGAGAGTATGGTACTTTCTATGATGTAAACATGATGGATGTAGACCAAACATAGTCCTGTCATGCTTAGACACAGTGTAACACCATGTCCTGAGAAATTAATACGTCTTGAGAACATGGAACAGAAATATCCATATCTGTTTTGAAGAGTCCAAGAAAGGTTTCATATCAGAGAGAACTTTTGAATGATTCTGGAAGGCAGAGACATAGGAGCTACGGGTCATGAATTGGAGGTGGGGAGCCACAGATGCAAAATCACAAAAAAAAGAACTTGCATTTTGGAAACCTGCAGACCAAGTTTGCTAGAGCATAAATTGTAAGAAAGATTGTTAGAATTGTATCTGGCTAGACAATGGCTGGATCATAAGATATCCTCTTAACAATGTTAATGGATTTTAATTGCATTGTGTTGGTGTTATTCTACCAAAGAAACGTAAACTTGAAAGAACATGATGACATTTGATGTTTCCACAGAATTTTGTCAGACCAGCTTTGTTGGTGCGTCTCTCATTGCAGGCTCAGATATTCCACTTGTACTCAGTTCCTTTATCCCAGGGTCTCTTTCAGATCATGGCTTCTTGTGCTTGGGTGGGACTTGGTTACTCACACACAATGCTGTGTTTAAGATCACCGAAAATAATCTGCCTTCTTTATCTAGATTCATTTTCCTGCTACTGAATGCACTCTCCATCCAGTTCTTTCATCAGGCTGATAATACCTTCTTCAGATGCATTCATCCCTCCACAAATTTCTTCCACCTGGTTTGATTTTGAGACACATTATTATGAACTGAATAGGTCTCTACTAAAAGTACCATCTTTATCACGGTATATTCTGCAAAGCTTTCTGTGTGGGGCATACCATGAAAAACAAGAGTAGACAGAACAATTAACGAAGAGAACCAAAGACTGAACCGCACAAATCAATTTTGTGCTTCCATTTCTTTTTCAATGTGTCTTCATTTATATTTCAATACCCTCCAGCTTAATTTTAGAGAATATTTTCATGTCAAAATCATTTGAGATGGACCTAAATAAAAGCAAATGAAAATGAAGATTGCTTTTGCCACACAGCTTAAAATCTACATATAGATTTTAAACTTGATGGCAATTTAAAGGCATTTTATCTTCATCATTTTTAATGGAACCCAGAACTATCAACCAGCAAAACTTCAGTTTGTTCTGTCCTGCAGTTTTCATTTTGTTCTCTTTCTTCTTGTTCCAGGAGTGGCAGAAAGAGTAGAGACATTAATGCCAGGCACACCTTCTCTTATCTTCCCTTATCACCTCTGTGAGTTTGGGTAGGTTACTTGACTTTTTAAGCTATTTTTCTTGCTCTGCTATTCTAAAATGTGATTAATCATAGCTACCTCTTTGGGTTACTGTGCCATTTCAGTAAGAATACATGCAATATAACTAATACAATGACGGCTACTATGTAGATGTTCAATTGGTACATTTTAGATATTCTAAGGACAAATGGCCAATTTAGTAATCTGAGAATATTTCCAAAATCTGGAAGAAATTGTTCAACTATGATTTGAGACAGTCATGAAGAGCAGCTATAGTGAAAAGGAAGTATGTTTTGTCATGAACATAGAGGTATATGTGTATGAAAATAGAGAAGAGATCACGATAGGTAAAAGTATAGTATAACAAAGCCAATTTTAGATCATTGTTACATAAATATTTACAACAACAATCAGGTGTTCAATTAATGGATGAAACACTAGATAAAATGAGAAAAAAGAAATGCAAAATAACAATAAGGCTCAAGTTGGCTGAAATTTAGAATTGATTTGTTCCAGTTGTGTCCTGGGCTTCACATGATGAAATGGTGCTTCGTTCTCTATATACTAATCAGTAAGTCTGTGTGCCTGTGAATTTGGCCTTATCATAAATACAGTGCGTGTCCTGAAAGCAACAAAGGACTAGATTCTATTTCTATCAATGAGGCATTTTGGAAATGTTTTCTCTGATACCTTCAGGAGGAAATTCACATATTTTCTTTCATTTAAGCAACACAGAGAAACCTTTCCAGGTCAGGTGAGTTCCCCGAGGAAATGCAGTGGTAATGGAAATGCTTTTGTGCATCAATCTTTGTAAATATTTGTTTTTGTGGTTTATGATGTGTTTAGTGTTTCCAGGCTATATGAAGTCAAATTATAATTTGAAACATATTTCCACAAAAATTGTCCTTAAGTTATAATAAATTATCAGAAACTTGCTTATGTGAAAATGCAATTCTCTCTATTCCTACAAGCCATTAGACATTGATTTATATGATTTATATTTCCCTGTTCAATGAGGATGAAGAAAATAGGAGAAAGCCTGTATCATGTGCTTATCATGGAACTGATATTTCACTACATCTTCTTACATTAATTACTTTATTCAATCCTCACAACAAAACTTTGAGACCAAGTGTTATTGCCAATATATAGGGAAATAAAAACAAATAATTAAGAAGGTTAATTAATATAAGTACCTCAATAGCTGTGGTTGACATTAAAAATTAGCCATGTCTAAATTGAAGAATTCTTACCAAGGTCTTACATTGACTCAACAAACCCTTGAGAAGCACAGAGGTGTTGGGAGCAACAAAATATGGCTTAAAATAGGCCTTGACTTCAAGGGGATTTTAGTCCACTGACGAAAATGATTTCTCCTTCCCTCTGAATTTTGAGAAGCCAAATAGAAATTTGATTTTAAATTTATAAAAACGTGTTTGTTTGTCAATAATTTATTATAAATAAGCTATTAATGTACAAATATAATACAAAGTTTACTTCCAATATATATATTTCAGACATTGATTTACATTTTCCTTATTATACTTAAAGTTCTGGGATACATGTGCAGAACCTGCAGATTTGTTATATAGGTATACATGTGCCATGGTGGTTTGCTGCACCCATCAACCCATGATCTACATTAGGTATTTCTCCTAATGCTGTTCCTCTCTTTGCCCCCCACCCCCCGACGGGTCCCGCTGTGTGATTTTCCTCCCCCTGTGTCCATATGTTATCATTGTTCACTACCACTTATGAGTGAGAACATGAGGTGTTTGATTTTCTGTTCCTCTGTTAGTCTGCTGTGCCACATTTTCTTTATCCAGTCTATCAATGATGGGCATTTAAGTTGGTTCCAAGTGTTTGCTATTGTGAATAGTGCTTCAATAAACACACATGTGCATGTGTCTTTATAGTAGAATGATTTATAATTCTTTGGGTATATACCCATTAATAGGATTGCTGGATCAAATGGTATTTCTGGTTCTAGATCCCTGAGGAATCACCACACTGTCTTCCACAATAGTTGAACTAATTTACACTCCCACCAACAGTGTAAAAGAGTTCCTATTTCTCCACATCCTCTCCAGCATATATTGTTTCCTGACTTTTTAATGATCACCATTCTAACTGGCGTGAGATGGTTTTACATATTTTAATTTCATGTGGTATTATATTTGATAAAGTATAAGAATAATTATATGTATATATGTATGCATATATATGTGTGTATGAAAATATGAAATTCAGGATCATATGAAATAAGCTACTTAAATCTTTCTCATGTAAGAGGCTTTTTATCTAACAGCAGTCAACAAAGAAGCTAGGTATGAGAAATAGCATAACATGTCCACTGTAGTTTCAATAGCTACATTCTTCTGCTTCTCTAAGAGTGGAGTGAGGGACTAGGAGCAACAGTGCATGATCTCCTGTATGCAGCCTAGTTCGTCGAATCAACCTATTACCAAGCTCATCATTGTCTCCTCATGTTCAACTCCCTCTCCTGCCTTACCCAGTGTTATTATTGACATCTCCTTTTCCAAGTCACTTAGGGATCGAGAAACATTTTATGCATTATGAAGAACAGAAAAATCCTCCATCGTGTAAGCCTTTACCATGGCATGTTCTCTGCCTACAAAACACTTTTTAACTGCTACTGCTTTTTGCCATATTCTGGGTGACATGCAACTACTGTATCAAGAGTTCCTGAGTTACATGGCTAGCAATAACAGAAAATACTCTAAGAACAAATTGGTAGCAAGAGGAATGTAAGTATATATATATATGTGTGTGTGTGTGTGTGTGTGTGTGTGTATGAACTTATTGAGTATAAGACATTTTGATTAGCGTTTTTTTCTGAAAAACAATAGAAAAATTATTAAAATTAGAAGAAATGAAATACTATCCACATCCCAAATGGACTTCTATGCCTTTGGACATTGTTTTCATTTTACCTCCTCCTTGAATTGCCTACATCCTCACCTGCATTTGCTTTTTATCTGCATATGTTATTTCAGCTCTAACCATCGTTGTTGCAAAATGCTCCTTCTCGTTAATATTTTTTCTTTAGAAAGAATTAAATAAAATGATATTATTATAATAGTTAATTATATTGCAAACTTGTTATGTTTTAGACACTATGCTAAGAGCAATGTGGATAACCAATTTTCTACCTTTATTTAATTTTCATGGAAGTTTACTATGAAGTACACATTATTCTTCCTCTTGTTACAGATAAGAAAATGGAGACTCAGATGGTTTTATGGGCTAAATTATGTCCCCTCAAAATTCATATGTTAAGGGCACACTGGTTACCTCAGAATGTGAGTATATTTGCACATAGGGTTTTAATGAGGTAATTAAGTCAAAATGAGGTAACTAAGGTGGGCTTTAGACTGATATGACTTTTGTCCTTGTAAGAAAAGATTATGACACAGAGACACGAATGTAAGATGATAGGAAGACACAGGAAAAAGACAGACATTTACAAACGAAGAAGCGAGGCCTCAGAAGAAACCAACCCTTATGACATCTTGATCTTGGACTTCTAAACCCCAAAACTGTGGAAAAATAGCTTTCTGTTATTTAGTACAACCAGTCTATGGTGTTTTGTTTTGGCATCCCTAGCAAACTAATAGATGTAGCATAAATATTCCAATATCAACACTGATACAATGATAAAAGCCAGCATTAAAAGCTGAATAATCCATTTCCTGATTCTGTTTGCAGGATCCTTGGAATGTCTCTTTTCTGGCCAGAAAGCTCTGTGGCTGGTGTTGCCTTTTGCCCAAGTTTTGCTGAGCCTGTGGGGCTTGTTTTACTCACTCAGCCTGGCAGGCTACGAGCAGCTCAAGCTACCAGCCTGAATCCCACACCTGCCAAGGGTGAGCCAGGCGTGGAGCAGCAAGGGTTGTATAAAAGGGGTGTGTAAGCAAGCAAGCATGGGGTCTGGACACTGTGCACAGTCAGGCATACTGGCTGTGCAGTGGGGCTGGCAGCTCCAGGTGCCTGCATGGGTGCTGGCTCTCTGTGAGGCTGCAGCTGGACCATGTGCACCTCAAGTAGTTTCCACAGCTGCCACTGTGTTCCCCAGTGGTGCCCAGAAGCTTGGAGACTCCAGGAACCACTGGGCCCCCAAGAAAGAGTCACAGTCCTGACTCAGGGAGTTCCCAGATCTGGGATCCCTGAAGGTCCATGGCTCTTCTCTCCTTCTCTTCTCCTGTATTGTGGCAAGCAAGGGGCATGTTTTTGCATTGTTTATGTTCTAGAAATTTCAGCACTGCCATTTGGCAGGCCCTGAGTTCTTATCCTGCATCCAAGAAAAATGAGGCATGTAGACAAGTGGAGGGTGAGCAAGGCAAAGAGGAGCTTTATTGAGTGACAGAATAGCTCAGAGGAGGCCCCGGAGTGGGTAGCTCCTCTCTGTAGTCTGGTGTCCCAACGTCTGCTCAGCTCTGTCTGAGTGGGGAGCTTTTATGGGCTCAGAGGGGAGGATGTGCATGACAATCGTTCCATGGGTGCCCATGGGCAGGTACGGAAAAGGCACCACAAGTTCCCACTCTGGTCCATGGGACTTGTAGCCCAGTCCCCAGCCTTCAGGCCTTCTGTGGCCAGAAGGTGGGGCCTCACAGGGGACCCACACCCTTCCACCCAGGAACCTGTCTGCCTCCTGCTGCTGTTCATGGTGCCTGGGCTAGGCTGAACTTTGCTTGGAGATCAGAGTGGGCACTGACAGCAGGGAGAAGCCTGGCAGCAGGAGCAGGCATTTCCAAGCCTGCAAGGCTAGGCAGGGCCTTCCTGGGCCCCCAAGAGTGCAGGGATGCCTGGGTCCCCAGCTGCAGTTTGGGCAGCTGCAGCTGCACCTTGGAGGGTGTGGCTCCATCCTGCTCCTGGGCTCCCGCTGGCTCCATGGAGCATGCAGCCCTAGTTGCATCTCCCTGCTGCAGCCGGTGTGTGATGGCAGTAGCTGGCCATCTGGAGTAGCCGATGCCATCAATTCCATTTGCTATACCATTGTAAGACCCTGAACTTCACCCTACCTTTGAAATATGGCAGCTAATTTTTTCTGTACCATTTCATTGGTGGTGATGCACTATAATACAAGATAAAATTATATTAGATTATATAATTCAGGAGATTGTGTTATGTTCTCATAGGGAGAAAATAAGGATTTTTGCATCTCATAATTGTCTCTAGCCCTATGCCTCATATATAGAAGCAGATAAAAGAATGAGTGAGCAATAAAACTATGCTAATATAAAAAAATAAAGTTGGACTCCATGCCTTTTATTATCCCCCACGAGAGGTTGTGTTAATATGAGCATATTTCCTTTCCTTTCTGATATTCTGATATTTTTATATCAATAGTTCTTAAACAAGAGAAACTAGTGGACATTTGGCATGTCAGGGCCCATTTTTGATTGTCACAATTGGTGATGTTACTGGAATCTACTGGGGAGAGACTGGGGTGCTGCAAACATGCTATAATGCCCAGGACAGCACCCCCTACAACAAATAATTATATGGTCTCAAATATCAATAGTGACAAGGATTAAAAAAACTATTATTAATCGTTTATATAGTATGTATATATGATAAATACTATTTTTCTATAGAATACCTTGTGAGGACAAGGTATATTCACTCATTCTGCAGACCATTGCATTCTTGCGAGGTACATTTCCATGTTCATAGACTTGGGCGATTGTAATCGTTCTGTCTTTGAGAGTCCCTTCTGTTGATGGAGTATAATTTATATATGCATACACATATCCTGAGAGAAAGGTGAGGTACAGATTCCAGTTGAAAGTTACTCACACATTTTCTCCGAACAATTAGGCCTACTTCTGTAATGGTGTCCAAATTCTGAGGGAAGTGAAAATTTCTTCTTCTAGGGAAGCCATCTGTTTTCCCCTATGAAATGACTAATGATCTGAAGTTCCTGGACGTTCTGATCATGTTCTCAGTTCAATGAAGCAATCTGTGAAATTCACATGGGAATTGGCTCAGTAACAGGCTTTATAGAATTGTCTTCAGCTCCAGAAAAAAGGGTCAATGTCATATGCAGTTAGGAACTTCGAACAAAAATATGTCATGAAAAATTTAACCAATTTTTTTTTTGCTTTTGATTCAATTTCTTAGAATGTTAATTACAAGTAATAGTGATTGCAGACATTTTAGAGTCAATATGCAATCTCAACACAAATTGAGGACAGGAGACATGACTTACACTAATAAAAATATTTTAAAAGCATTACCTCTGTTTTGTTGAATAGGAAACAGGATTTAGAGAGGTTAAGTAATAGGTAAAAATGATAGAATCAAAATCTCAATTCCATTCAATCTGACTTCATTCTTTTTAGTTAACGAACTCGCCTTTGCAAAAATTATAACTGAGAAAATTATGACAATGAAAGTGATCTTACCTAACTGAGTTTATCTTGCTTCCAACCTCCAAGCATGCTTGTTCATTCCGGGACATAACTGAGCTAACTTTGGAAGGAACTTAGTTTATAGTTTAACTTCGAAACAAAGATGATAATAGCCCTCTATGAAAACAAACCCTCTTCCTGCCTGGGGACTAGACTGTCTCCGTAGGGCTAGCAAATTAGGCACAAGATTCGAAATTTTGGTTTAGGAGTCATGAAGCTGGAGGCTGCAAGATTCTGAAACTCCCCAAATTGCTCCTGGGGATAATATCACCATTTTAATACCTAAGATCAGTGCTTGAGATATTTTGCATACCTTTTACTTATTGTATCAGCTGGCACCACCCAGATCAATAAACTTGCTCATCTGGTTTTGACCCCCAGCGAAGAACTGACTCAGTGCAAGAAAACAGATTCAACTCCCTTGATTTTATCTCTGACCCAACCATTCAGCACTCCCTACTTTCTGACCCCCTACTCACCAAATTATCCTTAAACCCCTGATCCCTGAGTTCTGGGGAGATTGATTTAAGTAGTAACTCTACCTTCCACCTGGTGTGGCTGGACTTGCATCAGTTAAACTCTTTCTTTGCTGCAATGCTATGGTCTCAATGAGTTAATTTTGTTTGTGCCTTAGGGAGGAGGAACCCATCGGGTGGTTATATGAAGTAGCAGAATTGGTTCTAAAGCTGTATCAGAGATCATTCCTTAGTGATGTGCTCTTTCCTCTTGAAAGAGTCTTGGAGAGGTGTGGAGAAATTGGCATTCATGTGCTTGTGTGTTATATACTCATCGCTTAATTTACTCCTTATATAAAATTTAAGAGATGAACATTATTATCTTTTTGGAATGAAAGAGCCATAAATCACAGGCTTCTTCCTTGGTCATCACCCTATTCAAAGCACCTTGCACAGTGACTAACACGTAGTGGAAATTATATTAGGTATTTATTGTCTAAATGAATGAGTGGAGGCACACAGGAGTAAAAGAAATTTGTCAAAGATAAATAAACAGTAAAGGTCTGCCAGCTTTCAAAGCTATGTTTGTTTGAACTCCTAAGCCACGTGAGGAAAAGTCACTTGGTAGAAAATAAAATAGAAGTTGTGTCAGTTAATTATTGTCAGACATTCAACAACACCAATGCCTCATAACCCAAAATAACAATTCATTTAGCTTTCATTTTTGTGAATTGGCAATTCGGATTGTGCTTAGCTGTGTTGTTCTTATGTAAAGCTTCTGCAAGTGTGCATGATCAACAATAGGTTAGTTAGGTGGCTCTGTTGATCTTGGGATAACCCATATGTATAAGTTTGGGGCAGGAGAACGAGTGGAAGTGTGCAGACCTATTACTGTCAAGAAGTCCCCAACACCATATTCTATTACTCGAAACAAGTCATGAGACCAGGACAATTTTAAAGAGTGAAGAAATACACCCCACCTCTTAATGGGAGAAACTTTAAAGTTACACAGAAAATGGGAGAGAATACAGGGAGGAGAATGATTGGGCCATTGCTGCAAATAAGCTGCCATAGGAAGAAACAAGAAAGCCAAATAATATATTCTTCCTTATTTGTGGTTAATGGTTTAGTAAATCAAACATAGGGTTATCAATTTGACTATTTGAAAAAGAGAACTGAATATTCCATTTCCTGAAGGAGTATGAAGACTCTTAATAAAATTTTTCATTCTTGGATTAAGTATGTTCAAAAAGTTTGTATAAATAGTCCTTGGTCAAGAGCCAAAAGTGGTTGCCACAATCAGAAAAGCTGCAAGAAGCAGGTCAGATTTCAGAAGCACTGACTGCAAAAGCTCAATTATTTAAATCAAAAACCCAATGCAGATGATCAAATAAGTATTTGACAGTATTTGATCTGGAGCACAGAGACCATCTGCTCTTCTATAAGCTAAAGCTTAGTAATAAATGCAGAGTACCACGTGCAGATTTAAAATTTAAATGCAGACTGCATTATCTGTCCTTAATTTGAATGCAATTCAGAGTCTAAATTTCTATAGAACACTGTGGATTATCTGCATAGGAACAAAAACCTCATAAAGAGAGTTTTCATTGATTTTTTCCCCTTCAGATCTAAGTCTTGCATTTTATTATGAAAAAAACAGGATGTCCAATATCAAACTGGAAAGGGCAACTGAGAAATTTAGTGCCATCTTAATTGTTAACCTTTCTAAAGAGATTAGGAGTAACTCTTTAGGCTGGAAAAAGAGAGATCTCTTTTCTCTCTCCTGTTTACCTTCTATCTCTCCCTTCCCCCAGCATCCTCTCCCACTCCCAAATAAATTTTTTTAAAACTGCTCTGTTATGGTATCTACTTGTTTTAGAAAAGAAACAGTAACTTTCCTATTCCTCTGATGTATTTAGCACCATTCATTCATTCATTCATTCAGAGCATTCATTCAGACAAGGAAAAATAAACACAAATAATTTTTCCTCTTTACACCAATCTCCCTATGTTACCAGTGATGAAACTGTATGGGTCTGCAGCAAACTCAATCCTTGGTTCCCTGGAGGAAAGAATTTGTCTGAGGGTCAGAAGCAGGTTTAAGGCAGAGGGAGAGACCGAGGCAAGTTTTAGAGCAGGAGTGAGAGTTTATTAAAAAGTTGTAAAGCAGGAGCAAAAGGAAGCAAATTTTACTTGAGAGAGGGTCAAGTGGGTGTCTTGAAAGATTCAAGTGCCCCGTTCAGCCCTAGACTTGGGGTTTTATACATTGGCATGATTCTCAGGTTTGTGTTTCTTCTATCTTAACTTTTCCCTTGGGGTGGGCTGTCTGCATGTGCAGTGACCTACTGGCACTTGGGAAGGGCCACATACACAGTGTATTACTGAAGTTGTATGCATGCTCACTTGAAGCATTTTTACCTTAAAAATAGAGTGTTCCCAGAGGAAGGTCATATACTGATTAAACTCCGCCATTTTGCCTCTTCCACCTGCTTGCCGAAATCTTATTAGGAAGCTGCTGATCACCAGCTTGATGGGTTTTCTACTGGGAGACTGTCTTTTCCTGGTGCCAACTGTAACTAAATATCATTTTAGAGAGAAAGTTTAACAACTGCCTGACCATCACCTGGTTTTTGCCTGACATTCCTGGAAGACAGGTCTCTCCTACTATACTCATGTCTGCCTGACTACCTACACTAATAACTACAATATTTAAATATACTGAATTGGATTTTCTTTCAGTGGACTAATAAGTGGCAAGAAATAGTTTTTTTGTTTCTAGGCCTCTAAATATAATTCTGATTTCCAAAATTTGAGTGAAGTATTTTTGCTTTCTGATAATTGTATTAAAATAGTATGATTTTAATTTTGGGAAATTTTGAGAAGAAAAAAGAAAAAAAAAGTTTGAAGGAAGAGGAAATATTCAATGAAACACACCAAGATAGAATGACTTTAAAATTTAAGATTTTTAAACAATCATAACATATATTTTCAATTTTTTGTATTATGAGTTAAATGAGGTGTAAAATTTTTATAGAAGGACTTAAAAATCCGATTTTAGGTGTTTTATTGGTCCAAAAAAAACTGTTTCTCTCTTCTTGTATCTTAGTAGGTAAATAGGCTGTGCAGGAATAAAACATGTAGCTATTTGGAATTTGCAAGGGTAGAGCAAGTCAGTCTTATTTCATGTAGATAAGACTTCTCCCCATGAAATGTGAGTTATGACTTCTAAGCAAGACTCTATGGTTCAATAGCAGAATTGAAAAGACATTCTAACATTTTGTCCAGGATTTACTCCTTCCCGTGGGTTCTTGGTCTTGCTGACTTCAAGAATGAAGCCACGGACCTTCATGGTGAGTGTTACAGCTCTTAAAGATGCTGTGTCCGGAGTTTTTTCTTTCAGATGTTCAGATGTGTCCATAGTTTCCTCCTTCCAGTGGGTTCATGGTCTCGTTGACTTCAGGAGAGAAGCTGCAGACCTTCACAGTGAGTGTTACAGCTCTTAAAGGTGGTGCGTCAGGAGTTGTTTTTTCCTCCCCGTGTGTTCCTGGGCTCACCGACTTCAGGAATGAAGTCACAGACCCTCACAGTGAGTGTTACAGCTCATAAAGGTAGTGCAGACCCAAACAGTGAGTAGCAGCAAGATTTATTGGGAAGTGCAAAGGAACAAAGCTTCCACACTGTGGAAGGGGACCTGAGGGGGTTACCCCTGCTGGCTCCGGTGGCAAGCGTTTATTCCCTTATTTGGCCCTGCCCACATCCTGCTGATTGGTCCATTTTACCGAGTGCTGATTGGTTTTTACAGAGTGCTGATTGGTGCGTTTACAATCCTTTAGCTAGACTCAGAGCACTGATTGGTGCATTTACAATCCTTCAGCTAGACACAGAAATTCTCCAAGTCCCAACCTAGTCCCAGAAGCCCAGCTGGCTTCACGTCTCAACATGTCTGGTTTCAGAGTGTCTATGACTTGAAGAGATTGTATTACGATTCATTCACAATGATCACACCAATGATGACATCTGACAATGAAATCTTTTTACACAAACAGCTATTGGTTTCACAAAAAAACATGTTTTACTGATGCTGCCACCCATATTTTCCTAAAATGTAAAAGGAATCTCTAAGGATAAAAAATGGGTTAAAAAATCGCTGTGTTCATGTGTATTCTTTAAGTAACTTAAGAAAAACTTCCAACTACTCAGAAGTGTACCTAACTAACAGTCACAAAAGAGTCTGTTTTAAGATAATCAGAAAGAAAAACTTTTTGAAAATAGCTAGATATTACTTCAGTAGTCTAGGAATTATACTGAAGCTGTGCACCCATGCAATAGGGCCTATCCGCCTGCATCTGTCACGATACAACTCTTCTCCAAGACCCTAGGAGCCACTGGGAATTTTGGTACTCTCTTGATTGGTAGTCTAGATAAGAGGTTTCCTCTCTTTCCCTATATCTTTCCCGTCACATTTTACTTTAAAGAATATGCTAGTGACAATGCTGAGGATGAGAGTCAGTAACATCAGTGAATAATGTCATTCATTCATTTTTCACCTATCCCAGATTGGTAAAAGATTTCCTCCCGGAAAATCAGACTTCACTGCTGAAATTCTTACCAGGAATGACGTTAACAGGTTTTTGGGGAAGAATTCTTTCAAGTAAATTCACATAAATACTGTTTTCAGTCTAAGCTCAGAATACATTTCCAACTCTTTAACAATTTGATGCTTCCAGACCTTTAATTAAAGTGTAAATTGCATAATTGTTCAATCAAAGTTATTCTTATGACAGTTTTAGATCATAAATTCAGGGCTAACTGAATTAATGCCAGAGGATTGTTAAAAAGTTTTGTTTTTATGGCCACAAATTATTTCATGACAGATTTAATAATGAAACTTAATATTTACCTCCAAAGTACTTAAAAGCTTGGATAAATAATAAAATAGTAATAAATATAATAAGATATAACTCAACTTTAGCTATGAGGAAAAAGAAGTTGAAGAAGGAGGAGAAAAAAGAAGGAAGAAGAGGAGAAAAAAAAGAAAAGAAGAGAATGAAAAGAAAAGAAGAGGATGTTATGTTTAGCATGCTGTTTTTTTTTTTTGCTTTATATTTTCAAACTCTAATTTCTTTCTTTCCAACTCCTTAGCTTGGTTTTTCACAGTATTTTAAGTTTTGATAATCCATATATCTATATGTCACCTTAGATGAAATTTACAAGTTAAATATTTTAATTAACAAGGTTTTGGTACATCGCACACTGGAAATAATTACTATGGTCCAATTGCTGAGTGGGATGCACTATTCACTTGTAACGTTTAAAAGTGCCACAATTATATGGCATTAGCACATACACATAGTATTGTCATGGAATTAATTATGATTTAGATTGATTTCATGGGAGCAGTATACAAAAGATGGAGGATGTGTATGAGGGATCTATACATTTATGAACTTGAGTGTGGTATTAGTGAGGGACATGGCCATGACATCATGAACATAAAAACTTTGACTTGCAATTGCGTGCACTTACCTAATCCAGGATTCCTGTTATTGCAGATACATACCACAGTTTGTGGATGTAATCTAGAAATGCACAGTTGTGAAAGGATTACTATTTTTCAACGGTTTAATAAAAACCTTAGAAATTAAAATACACATCATATTGTTTTGTTCTTATATAGGCTTTAAAATGCCACAGTTTACTGCATGTAATGTAATAACTCATTCTTTTTTTTTTTTTTTAACACGGAGTCATGCTCTGTCGCCCAGGCGGGAGTGCAGTGGTGCCATCTTGGCTCACTGCAAGCTCCGCCTCCCGGCTTCACGCCATTCTCCTGCCTCATCCTCCCAAGTAGCTGGGACTACAAGCGCCCGCCACCACGCCCGGCTAATTTTTTGTATTCTTAGTAGAGACGGGGTTTCACCATGTTAGCCAGGATTGTCTCTATCTCCTGACCTCGTGATCCGCCCACCTCGGCCTCCCAAAGTGTTGGGATTAATAACTCATTCTTTTTTTTTTTTTTAAATGTACTATATTACCTTTATTTCTTTTTTTTTTATATACTTTAAGTTTTAGGGTACATGTGCACATTACTCATTCTTAACATCAACTTGTCTCTTGTCCATAGAACTGCTTTTGGAGCCAGTTCTATGTGGGCTCCAACTAGATTTATACAAATGCATGCTGGTCCCATAGACCTATCACTCTCTATGATGATATTTCCTTGTTGATGCTGATGTGTTGGACAAAGGGAAATTTCATTTTGCTTTCATATATAAAAACCCAAAAGCAGAAGCAAAAGTTAATGTCCTATGATCTCATTCTTTCCCATTCTTCCTCCTTTCCAAATAAATTAATCCATGAATTCCAGTAGTCAGTCATTTTTAGTGAACCACCTTTATTAGACAGACTCCTTTTGGCCCTTCTTTCTCCCCTTATTAGCCTTGTCCCTGCTTCCTCATAGGCAACTGTATTTACTTTTCTTTTTTTTTCGAGACAAGGTCTCACTCTGTCCCTGAGGCTGGAGTGCAGTGGTGTGATCACAGCTCATCACAGCCTCAACCTCCTGGGCTTAGGGTATCCTCCCACCTCAGCCTCCTGAGTAGCTGGGACTGCAGACGTGATACAGCACCTGGCTAAATTTTGTATTTTTTGTAGAAATGGAGTATCACCATGTTGCCCAGGCTGGTCTCAAACTCCTGGGCTCAGACAATTGACAATTCTTGGCCTCCCAAACTGCTAAGCTTGCAGGCCTGATCTGCCAGGTCCTGCCAACAATTGTGTTTCTTTAAAAAACATCTCTTACAACTCAGCCACCATTCTCAAGTTTGCCCTCTAATGTAGGCATGCGACTGCAACCAAATACTGAATGTATTTGATCTGATTATTACTAATATGTGCTGGTCCTGTAAAAAGTTTAACTGAAGTTGTTGAAAAATATATGGCCACTTGCTCAGTAAAATCATGCAAGCATATGAGAAAGATAATTAGCTTCAGAATTTAAAAGTTGCAGGAAACATAATCAGGTCTAAGATTCTATTTAATATTTGATATTTTGTGGTCTGTTTAGTTTATTGAATACCCAAGAATTCTATTTGCAACTAAAAACACAGAACTTACAAATTTTAATAAATACTTGTGAAGCAATGAACTCCATTATTGAAGACGACTTCTATCAGGGATAATTGAAGTGATAAAAGTTAAGAAAAGGAATTAATAATCCTATACACTGTGAAATTACTCAATGGCAGAGCCTTATGCCGAAAATAATCCAGACTAGATACTCAGTTTCCAAGATAAATCATTCTTTACCATTTTCCCTGTTTCCTCCAAACACATTATATACTTTTCATTCTAGGACTGAAACAAAACATTTTATTTTTCATGTTTGGTAATACTATAAATATTCATAACCACACACATCTGTCAAAAAAGCACCACAGAAAGTGTTTAAACCACAAAGGAGGAAAAATTCCTTGAGTGGTCCTTGAAGAAATCACACTACATGCTCCATGCAATTGTTCTAGCACTTAAGCTAAAATTCCTGACCTTCAATACATAAATAGTTTCTACTTAATGAAGAATATTCAGACAAGAACAAAAGTATTCATTTTCAGAAAAATAAAAATGTTATTTTGCCTTCTCTCTTAGGAACTGTTTGTGACTGCAGAGTTATTTTGATCTGACTTTTTTATAATTCAGATTTTTGTTTTGTTTTCAAATCACTTTTAAATGTCAAGTTTTTTGTTGTTGGGCTGTTTTCCTTTCCCTGTTTCCTTTCTTTCTTTTTTTTATTTTCTACATTTAGCAAAAATACTTCGTTGTAAAAGCATTCTCACCTAGTCAATGTATCCTGAAGATTTAAAAACAGTTGTCATGGAACTAATAAAGGTCCTGAGTTTTAATCATCCCTCATCACAAAGAAGCACAACTTACATTTTGAAGTTGGGATTCAATGGACACATAAGCATGTAGGCAATAAGAATCTTAAAACAGAATAATGAGACATGGTCTCTCCAAAAAAATTGTGTAACCTAGCCCTTCTTATATTTTTTTCTTTGTAAAAATGATTCTTCAAGGTCTATCACCTGACTTTATTCTGAGACGTTTTGTTACATGACTTATTTTTCTAGATTTGTCAACCACAGACAATTTTCATGATTGCGTCAGATGTGAAAGAGCCCTGGAAATCAACCAATCTAAATAAAGCATCTAAGGCATTGAGAGGTAAAGTAAATTGTCCCTGAGCACACAGCTAGTTAGGCAAGATTGTCTTCAGTGGCTTCATTCTTAAATATAAGAAATGTTTCCCCTGAAACATCTGGAGCTTCCTTTAATGCTATTTAAATTATATGTCTGCAACCAGGAGTCTCAAATCACAATCCTGAAACCAAACATGATTTGTAAAGAGCTCATGATTACAAGATCAAAAAGACTACATTAATATGACATCAGCTCATTAATTTGTACCTTCATTCCTGCCCTCCTGCAATTTAAAAATAGCTTCACTGATTATAGCAAGGTTTTCTCCCTTTTGCAAAAAAAAAAAAGGTAGCATAATTGAATTTTTCAGTGTTATCTTTGATGAACATTTAGAAGCTCAGAACCAAATCTTATCTGGGAAAATTTGAAATTCATCTGTACAAAACTAGAGAAGAGTACAGATCTGAGGAGGAATGTGGATTGAATGAGCTGCTGTACATTTCAAAAGTTAGTGTCTAGGAGTTATTTCAGGGCAAACGTGAGCAGATACTTGACATTTTACTTTTATTTTTAACCTCTTTGTGCTTCTCCGGTCTTCCTGAGAACTCAGCATTATTCTAAACAAATCTAAATATTTGAAATTCTAGGCACTTATAAATGACTGTGTTTTGCAGCTTACATGGATAAATCTCTCTCAGAAATCTGATCAGCCCATTTCACATAGAGAGCACTGGAGAAAATTTTCAAACAGTCATATGGCTTGCTGTTGTTTTAATGTAAGGTGAATTTTTTTTTCATATAAGGAATATCTCAAGAGAACCCTTCTATATGTGTCACAGAACTCTGAAGTGTAATGCTTTCTCCTCATCTTCTTACTTTATTTATTTATCCTAGTAAAGCAAATTCTTCCTATCCCAGGGCCATGGCAATTGCTATTTCCTTTACCTAAGAACTTCTTCACCCTGGCCCTGTTCGTGACTGGCTTTTTCTTTCTATTTCGTGGCCTTGCTCAAATTCTGCTTATTCCTGGAAGACTTTGCTGCTCCCCACATACATGGGATCCACAATCCCCAACCCAGTCACTCTGTCAAATAGAAAAGTGGTGGATTTGTACTCTTTCCATTGTTTACATGAATCTTAGGTATTACGTTATGCTAAACTTTTTCTGCCTTGTTTACTGGTATATTTTTAGTTTGTAGGTCAATGTCTTACATGCAGTATTTGTTGAATAAATTCAAACGTCTACTGCACCAAATGCTAGAGAATGTTCTCTGGAAGAAGGCAAAGGGGAATGGATGCTTTCACTATTAGGGCATGGAAGGAGGGGTAGCCCTACTTTTAAGAATAACATAAAGCAGTCAATGAAACATAAAAGTCAAAGCAGTTATCATTTATCGGACATTTACTATTGGAATATTTTTGATATGCTAACTCAATCTTAAGAAAAATGAGTTATGAAATCTATATTATTATCATAATTTTATAGCTAGAAATGCTGAGGCACAGAGTGATCAATTATCATGACTTACCCTGGTCATATTCCTGTTAGGTGGCAAAGCTCTGGGATTTATATACTTATCCACTTTATCACTCTTTGTCTCTTAACTAAGAGACAAACGTAGCAAAACAAAAAGAGAAATACTTTGTAAATAAGAGTTAATGACTATAAATACCAAAACTCTATTATGTTTTGTAATCTAAAAATGTTTTTTCCATTGACATATTGTGGGCTCAGTGTAGGGAAATCGCAAAGGATAGTAGTGCATCGTGGAACTCGCATAAACAGAGTTGTTGCACTCTCAGTTCCAGGAGAGGTCAATAAACCTAAAAGGAGAGAGTTATACAATTTGGCTATCTTGACAGGGGCAGTAAATATTGATCAAGAGACCAGCCGATGTATGGTAATCCACAGGGAGAAAGACAGCAGGACAAATGCCTTCTCTTAAAATGGGTCACCCAAAAGTAGACGTTCAAACTACAATGAATGTATAAATGGTTCAATTAAAATATTCCCAGGAAAAAGCAGAATGGAATGGTAGAAAGAAGTCAAGCAAGGAGCGTGCAAGTTCAGTCAAAGCCTTAGCTTCAGCCTAAGTCTTCAAAGAAATATGTGGTGCAGATTATAGCTCAGAGTTTGAACTGACTCCAGACAAGATAGTTGGGCCTTCATACTTCTGTGTCAGTCAGCCTTTAGTTACTGGACAACTATAAGAACACATATTTTTATGCTTTCCTTCCTTGTCTGCATATATAGGTGTACTAGCTTGTTAGAGATACTGTAAAAAAAAAATACCGTAGACTAGGCAGTTTTTGTTTTGTTTTGTTTTGAGACTCTCACTCTGTTACCCAGGCTGGAGTACAGGGGTACAATCATGGCTCACTGCAGCTTCGACCTCTTGGGCTCAAGCGATCCTCCCACTTGGGCCTCCCAAAGTGCTGGGATTACAGGTGTGAGCCACCACACCCAACAAGACTAGGTAGTTTAAACAACAGAAAATTATTTTCTCATAGATATGGAGGCTAGAATTCCAAGATCAAGGTGTTGGCAGATTTTGTTTCTTTCAGAGGCCTCTCTCCTTGCTTGTAGGTGGCCACCATCTTGCTGTGTTCTCACAGGGTCCATCCTTGATCTGTATGTTGCCTGTATCCTAATCTCTTCTTGTAAGGGCGCTAGTCATATGGATTAAGGATCATCCTGAAGTCCTCATTAATCACATCTTTAAAGGCCCTACCTCCAATTTTAGTCACATTCTGGAGTACTGGGGTTTAGAAATTTACTATATATATATATATATATATATATATATATATATATATATATATATTTGAGGGAGGGAGCACGTTTCAGCCTATAACACTGGTCAAAGCGGGTCTATTAGCCCTAAGTTAACTCTCTAAAGAAAGTCATAGATGCTGGCCCTTAAAAACATAAGTATACATAAACTGGAGATAGTCACACAAAAACTGTGTAGGAATGCTCATGTATTTGGGCAGAGATCAACAGTTTTGTGTCTGCAATACTGCAATACAATTCTAATACTAATTACTTAGAGTTAAGACAGATTGCAAAGGTTGAAGCCATGCTACCATGAATACTGCCCTCACTTCAGACACCAGTTGCAATTTCTGGGGTTCTAGACCATCTGCACTTCTGACGAACTCAGGGCCTCCCACTAGACCTTTAGGTTTGATAATTATCTAGAATGATGCAAATAACTCACTAAAGCACTATATTTGTGATCACAGTTTTATTATAAGGCATATAAATCAGGACCAGCCAAAACAATAAATGTACAGTATGAGGTCTGGGAGGGTCCCACCAGTGGAGTTTCTGTGTCTTCTGGCCATGGAATCAGGCCTCATCATCCTCCAGACACATTGATGTGTTCACCAACCAGAGAGCACATGCAAGCTACAGGTGTCCAGAGTTTTTACTGGGGTTTTATTACATAGGTATGTCTGACTGAATTATTAGCCACATGACTGAGCTCAATCATAACCTCCTATCCTCAGAGGTTAAGAGGTCAGGCTGATGTCACTTGCCTCAGAGACCCAGCCTTTTAATTGCATGGTTGGTCTTTCCAGAATGGCCAGCCCCCCATCTTGAAGCTATCTAGGCTCCCCCACCCCAAGTCATCTTGTTAGTATGAATTTGGGTGTACTCCTGGAAGCCCACAATGAAGAATGAATAATAATCCTAACAGTAGGAAAATTCCAAGGTCTTAAAACCTCCCTCCCCACAACTTGGAACAAAGATCAGACCCCTTTGTTAAAAGTATGGAATATCCCAACATCATTTTTCTATCTGCTGCAGATCTCTGCCAGGGCTCCCAATGGACCAAACAGGAAGCTAGATGAATATAGTCTTGAGGAGACAACAGAGAGGCAGAGGATAAACATGCATTTTTATTTGCAGTTAACATATTTTTTAAGAAAGAAGATGAAGCTCGCCATACAAAGCTAGTAGCAATCAATAAAATGACTATAGAGGTGAAGAAAGAGATGATGCTTCCATTCACTGCCCAGAATTCCTTTGATATATCATGTAGCTGATTCTTGTCCCCAGTTTTCAGATAATGAAACTCACACCCAAAGATTTACACTGCCTTTGACTTCCAAGGTTCAGGTGCCATGAAGTCCACAATTTGCATTCTGATGCAACTATTAATGTGCAACACTTACTTTTGTAAAACTCTAAGTACTGGCATTATTTGGCTACTCAGCTGTGCACTTAGGACCACAAAGAGCCTAAAGGGAAAATGCAGAGTTTGTTGTGGTAGTTGTTATTTAAAGGTATGAAGTATGTACTTCTAACAGCTCCCAATTCAAACCTCCAAAGTCAAATCACCTCAGAAAAAATTTCAATGTAATGGTGAGCTAACGCCATCTGCTTTTTCCTCCAAAACTCAGAAGCTTTCACCTGTGTGAAGTCCCTGAAAAATAATGGCTGTCATGTCACAGATAAGTTTAACTGAAATGGCAATTGTTATAAGTTGTTCCAAAAATCATATGCATAACTGAGGTAATTATGAAATGATTTACAGGCTATATCCATGATTCCAACAAGACTGTATGTCTTAGTTCTCAGGGACCTCCTTCAGCATCATGATACAGTGCTTGGTACTTGACTTAAATATGTGCTGCATAAATTAAAGTTTCCTCATCATGATTCTAGACAGTGGGATTTAATTCTCTAAGCCATAGGTTTGGTATTAGTAATTTGAGGATCTCATATTTTCTTTAGAAGTTTGTTGTGGAAATTAAATCAGGCCATCTATGTGAAAACTCCTCCAAAATTGTAAAGGGCTTTCACAAAAGGAAGATTATCAGAGCCCTCAGCTCAAAATAGATTTCTGGGAAATTATAGTTGACAATTTGAGATACTTTTTCTGTCTCTTACACTCATTGCTTCTTTTACCCTTGTCTTTTTCATACCATTCATTACTCTTCTCCTCTATCAAACTATACTCCAGTACAAACCAGTAGCACTAACAGCATTCTAGTGAACAATTCTTCTTCCTTTCCCCCAAAGCTATATTCCCTCTACATCAGTACATTTGTTTGTCATTTGTCAAGAAAGGTTTCATCTTAAAGGAGACCCTAATAAATAGTTGGTCATCTTTTCTATAATGATCTTAATTACCCAATGTGGTAGGCATGGTCTTGTTGTGATTAAGATTGTGGTGATTACAGTCAAATGGTTCTTCCTCTAACCAGCTGTGTGATGTTAGGCAAGTTATTTAGCATCTATGACATCCAGTTTTTATACTGTAAAATTGGAAAGATAATTCTACCAATTATATAGAGCTGGTTGAAGAATAAAATATTTCAATAAAACAAACATAAGGGTAATTGGCACACAGTACTAAAAATGGTAGTAATAGTAGAGTGATGGACAATAGTGATCGTTACATTTGTGTTGCAGTTTTAGTTGGACTTTGGTCTCTTTGAAGAGGGGAGTGAAGAATGATGATGCTCCCCAAAGGGGATTTGTTGTTGTTTGTGTGTTTATTGGTGTTTTTTGTTTGTTTGTTTGAGAAAAGAAAAACATGGATTACAAAGTTACAATACTATATAACAATAATATAAAATTATTTAAAATTAATATAATATATTGTAAATTATTTAATAATGCTATTAAATTAGAGCTGTTTTGCTATTTATATACTTCTGGAATTTTCACAGCCTCCAAATGGACTCATTACTTTTATTATTTAAAAGAGGTGCATGTATCTGTTATGAAAATATCATCATTCAATGAAAAATCTCATGGAACATTTTATGATTTTCATTACAAAGACCATCAATAATATGTTTTGTGTCCAAAAGTAAGATCACATTTTGAAGAAGGGGAAAAACATTTAATTAGACAAAGTACCCATTCTTACTTTTCATCATGAGTTCCTTTTACATATTGTCAACAGAGACTATTAGAATGGGACAAATAGCAAGAATATAACTTGTGCCTAATCAAAAGACCCCATTCAGAAATTAAAACTTAGTTCAAATTCTGAGTCTGTGTGGGAGGACTTTAGAGACCGTCTGCAAGTAACTTATTATGTTGCCATCTATTTAGAAGTTCAAGCTAATGATGCAAACCACTTTAATGAGTAAATGAAAACCTATATAAAATAAATGGCCCATCAAATTGGAAAAAAGAAAGATACATTAACAGGTATTAATGTACCTTTAGTTTCGGGTGAAGCAGATCCTGTATATATCTTACAGTTTCTTGGAAGTTCCCACAGGAAACCAACTCTCTTCTATCATTCATTTTAAACTCTATATAATGATAATCCATCATTATGAAAGCAAGCATTTGGAAAGACGGCAATCACCACTTATGAAGCCTTCCCTACCGTCTATTTAAATGATAAAATTTGATATTGCTGATGATTGAATTGAAAAGAATTAAGGGGTAATAAATCTAAATTTGCTAAGTGGTTAGTTTTAAAAATGTGCTATATATTGACAGTTGAATTGAAATGAATTAAATAAAATAATATATTTAATTATGTGTATGTTTAAATTATAAATCGCAAACCAGTTCTGCAAAATCAATACAATTATCCCCGTTTAAAATTAAGAACATTGAGACTTAAAAGGAATGCCAGAATTAGCCAAGGTCATACGGAAATAAATGGTTGATCTAGTATTCCTATAGGAATCCATATCTGTCGGACTCCTAATATTTATCTATTTCCATTATAGAACTACAAATGAGGAAATCATTAATCATTTCTCTTGTTGTAAAAATAGCAGCTCACTATGAGCCAAGCTCAGTGCTAAGGATTTACATGCATTTTCTCATCATTGGTTTTCTCACAGCTGCATTTATGGTAGGTGATACTGCATACTATATTCTCAAGGGAGGTGAGGCAGAAAATATCTCTGATTATTTTTAACATCCTTAATTATCTGAACAATGCAATGATAGATAAATGAAGGAATAAACAATAGAGTTGAAGCCATTAAGTCTATCTGACTTAACTATAAGCTCCATGCAGATCTGGAGATAAATGTAACCTTACATGTTGTAAACGTAACCTTATATGTGTATATAATTATTTTATAATTTTAGTGCTTAGCTAAGTGACTTTGGTTGCCCAGAATTTGTACTAATAAAAAAATAGGCCATATTTTATGTTGACGAGTAAGATTACTTATTCACTGTATGTTTGGCAAAATAATACATCTATACTTTAATCCTAACACCAACTTAACCTTAGTCTACTTCTCAACATTCACTGACCGCTCCTTCCCCTTGTCATACAGTTTCTACACCAGCCATGTATTCATCTCTAGTTCAAGAAACACACTAAACTCTCACCTTCCACACTTCACAAATATTCTTCTCCCTACCTGGAATATTCTTTCTCTTCCTTTTACCTCGTATTTTTTTCTTTGGAAACACATTTCTGTCTTCATTATTTATTCCTAACCTGTGTTACCCTAGCATCTTACTCACCCTACTTTAGTCCTTATCCTATTGTGTAATGGTTTTTATTTAATTGTCTACATTGCCCTCTGCTATATAAGCCAATTGAGGGCAGAGGTCATAGCTTGTTGACCATTCGATCCTGAATCATTTCAAATATTAAGAGCTAATTAAATTACATTAAAAACCTTGTCATCATCTGCACAAAAAACAATGTATTACTAGTGCTAGCTATATTAAAACCCCATACATAATTTCTGCCTACTATCCCTAGAGTATTTTGTGGGGCAGAAAAAAGACAAATTTTCACTATGATATTATATTCTCCCCTAAAGCCTCCGGAAAGGAATGCAGCCCTGTGGTTACCTTGACTTTAACTAGTGATATACAAGTCAAACTTCTGGCATACAGAGCTGCAAGATCATAAATTTGCTTTGCTTATGCAACTAAGTATGTAGTAATTTGTTATGACAGCAATAGAGCACTAATGCAGTCTCACAATTTTACTTGTATATGGTGCCTTTGCTTATCTCACTACCAGACTGTTAGCTCCTTGAGAGCGAATGTGAGAAACATGCCTTGCCTCCATAGTATCCATCAGTAAGTGTTAATATTTGGTTATAAAGTAGAATGAAACTTCTATGTTTTTTGATCTAATATTAATGTTTAAATCTCAGCTGAAATATCCTGCCATTCAGTGTTTGAGAATATCTCCAGTGGTTGGGAATCGATTATCTACTGAATATCTTCAGCGTTTGGGAATCCACTATTTATTCAGATAATCCCCATTTAGTCTTTGGCAGTTCTGACTTTGCATGTCAGGGAGAAGCCATCAATAGAAGGAGAAATTTGTAATTCCACTCATTGATGAATGTCCTAGTTTTGCTCTTTATGACAAAATGCGTTACTCTTTCTTACTTCCCTCGTATGGGAACTGCTGACATTTCCCTCCATGAGTACTGCCTTCAGTCTGAGCATAACCTGTTGGTCAGTGGTTTCCTATGTGTCACAAGCTCAAAGCCCTTTCCAGTCCTGCTGGTGAGTCTTTCCGTAGTCTTCATTTTGAGACCAACTTTTATATATTAGACACTCAGGCTTAGGATAGTCTTGTTAAATCCTGTGGAAAAGCCTCTTACTGAAAACAGATTATTCAAAAACAAATTTTATTTTATTTGGCCACAGGTGGTAAGTAACATGAAGTTTGAAAAACATGAGGGCAAAATATTTTTTAGCAGTCATTGTGGTCTTAGTAAGAGTTCCTATGCAGCCCATACCATAAGATAAAAACAGGCAAACCAGTTAGTTGCTGATTGCAGTGAGCCAGGTATTATTTTTGGTGTCTTGGCCAAGGATGACAGCAATGAAGGAAGAGATAAGCGGTACAATTTTAAGTATATTTTGATACCAAAACCAGCAGAAGTTGCTGATTGATTAGCTTTATTGTGTGAAGGGTAGAAAGACATCAAGGATGTTTTCAAGTTCTAAGAGGCCAAATAGGCACTTTCACAGACGTGGAGTGGTGTGGAGCAGGATTATGTTTGGGGAAAAACTCAAAAAGATGTTTTTGAATATGTTCTGTTTGAAATAACCTATTAAGCAATCCAAATGGAGATGTAGAGAAAGAAGTTGGATATAAAAGCCAGAGAAATGTCCAAGCTGGAGATATAAAATTGTAAGCTATCAGGGATAGAAATTTTTTTAAGCCATGACAGTAGGGGGAGTGACATAAAGAGTAGTTATAGAAAGAGTCCCAACCCATCAATCATTCATAGTATAATGTTCAGAGATTTGCAAGATGATGAGAAACCAGCAAAGGATAGATAAAAAAGCAGCTATTCAGGCAGGGCGGGATGGCTCAAGCCTGTAATCCTAGTACTTTGGGAAGCGGAGGCAGGTGGATCACGTAGTCAAGAGATCGAGACCATCCTGTTCACACACAGAAACCCCGTCTCTACTAAAAATACAAAAAATTAGCCGGGCGTCGTGGCACATGCCTGTAGTCCCAGTTGCTCGCGAGGCTGAGGCAGGAGAATCGCTCGAACCCAGGAGGCGGAGGTTGCAGTGAGCCAAGATCACGCCGCTGCACTCCAGCATGGGCGACAGAGCGAAACCCTGTCTCAAAAAAAAAAAAAAGAAAAAGAAAAGAAAAGAAAAAAAGAAAAAGCTATTCAGAAGGATACCCAAAAGAGAGTTTTGTACCAGAAGACAATGTAATATGCATATATGCAAAAGACATGGTTAATTGCTGATAATATATCAAATAAAAATAAATTAATAATTATATTTGCCATTATGTGGTGTATGTGGGAGATTTCTCAGTGGAATTATGGTGGTGATTACCTAATTGAAGTGGGCTTAAGAGATGATTGCAAGAGAGCAATTGGAGAAAACAACAGAAGTTGACTATTTTTAATAGTTACAAATTTAAAGAGAGCAAACAAGTAGTGTGGTATTTGGAGGGAGATGAAGTATTAGAAGATACTATTTTTCCTTTTTAATTGAAGAAACTAAAGCTCATTTTGTATGTCATTGAGAATTATCCAACAAAGTGGAGAAGAGTTGATGAGAGCAAGAATGAGAAGGCAATACCTGGAATGATATATTTATGTATTTAAATAATGAGAGGAAATGGAACTTGTGTACAAGTAATGGGTCTGGCCTAAGACAGTCAGGATTTTGTTCACATTAATAGGAAGAAAAGAGAACAGGGTATAAGGGTAAATATACAGATAATTTGCAAGTGTGGAATTGCCAGTTTGTGAAAGTCTTTTCAAAGTGCTTGAATTTTCTCATTGAAATAAGAATCTGGGTCATAAATCGAGAGTGAGGATTAAAGGTTGAACATAAAGAAGAAGATGTGAAATAGTTATCTCCGACAGTGGAAGAATGATTCAGTTAGGGAAAGAATTACTAGGCAATCCACTTGAGGTTGGGACAAGGGATTTAAACAGGAACAGGTCAGCATGTTGTGTGCATATATTGAGACATCATCAATTGTGAATTTGGGGTTTTGAATTTAACCATGGGTGCAGATACGTCAAAAGAAGGCAATTGAAGAAAATGCAACAAGACAATTTCAGGCGGTTTCAATGAGCTGTGGCAAAACTGCCTGCCAAATGGCTTCCATTGATGTTTGCCAGAACCCTGTTCTAGTTTCTGCCTCAGGATAGTGTCATCACTGTTGGCTCTTTCTCAGTTGCCTAATTTGTATTGTTTTAGTGATTGACATTTATAGATGCAATAGAAGAGTCAGGAATCATGCTCAGAGTTACTGAATACCTAAATATAATTTACTTTCTTCTTTAAATTTGTATATTTTATTTTAAAATATGTTTTGTATGTGATGTAAAATTCAAAATTTCAACAATGATAGCATTAAAAATGTTGTCTTCATGTCTGACCTCCTATCTAACTTAGAAAACTTTAAGCACACTGTATAAACCCTTATAAATACAACTCATTATGATTTGATGCTTTTGGTTTTATTTCCAAGAAGCTTCACATATGTTTATTAGAATCCGATGCTATAACTGAAGGAAAATCACCATTCTTATATCACTTAATCTTTCATCCTATTTAGTTGAAGATCAACCTCTTGGATAGAAACAGTATTTTCTTGTCAATTTTTCAAATATATATATGTATACATATATAAATATGTATACAATATATACAATCAATAAAATTGTATGTATATTTTGTACACTTTTTTTTTTTTGAGATGGAGTCTCGCTCTGTTGCCAGGCTGGAGTGCAATGGCACGATCTTTGCTCACTGCAACCTCCGCCCCCAGGTTCAAGCGATTCTCCTGCCTCAGCCTCCTGAGTAGCTGGGACTACAGGCGTGTGCCACCATGCCCAGCTAATTTTTGTATTTTTAGTAGACACAGGGTTTCACCACGTTGGCCAGGATGGTCTCAATCTCTTGACCTCATGATCCACCTGCCTCGGCCTGCCAAAGTGCTGGGATTACAGGTGTGAGCCATCACACCCGGCCTTGTACACTTATTTTTTATTTATATTTACACAAAGTGATCAGGTTGAGGAATAAATTTTTAATTGCATTTCTTTACTTGATTTCCCTGATTTTAGTCGAAATGTTTCAATACTTTTCCATATTTTGAGGTATACTAGTGCCCCATTATTTACATTTAATCACACTGAAATATTCAATATTAGAGTTTGGTTTTATTGCCTTAAATTGGGAAATCCTTCAAAGAAGTAGTCATATGTCTACAGACAAAGAAAAGCTTATTCTGAGAAAGCACTCTGTGAATTTTAGCAGCAAATGTTGATCTGAATTTTTATGTCTCTTGTTCTATGCGATAAAATTTTTCTCTAAGTCAATTACCTGTAAAATTGCTTGCCATCTTTTGATTTTGGCTCTGTAGATAAAGCTTATGTGAAATGTTGTTTTAAAATTCTATAATCATGCTTTCTTTCTTTTATATTGGGGCAAATTTATATAACAAAATTAATTACTTAAAAGAGAACAATTCAGTGCAATCATACTTTCTTTTTAAGCACTTGCTATCAGCTAAACTGTGTACAGGGAACATAAGAAGGAGTAGAATTAGAATTCAAAATATTGGTTGCGTGGACTTATAAAAAACACTTTATTTGGAAGCATTTCCTATTTCTACTGCCCCTTCCCTCCTGATCCATATTATTTTATAGTCCAAAAAGTCTTTCTTCATCTTCTTAAAATGCTTTATTATTAGAAAATTATGTATCATCAGTTATTTCCCTGAAATGGACCCTGTCTGGGAAAGACTATCATTCATATTTCTCCTCCTAGAACTGTACAGAGTTGATACTCAGTAAAGGGCATTGTGAATTTAAATATCAGATTCCATACAGAGGGACCAGTAAGATTAAAAAGAAAGCTACATTAAGACCTCAAAGTCTCTGAGCTCATAAGTCCAAGGGGTGCTATTCAGGAGGTGTAGACTAAGGAGGACATTAGAGCTGTGCAAATAAAGTTTGATGCAGAAATTGGTGCTGGTCCTCTGTTTATTACCAATTCATGACAAGATAAATACAAACAATAAGAAAAAGCATCTAGAAATTTTTATAGCAGTCTTAGCAGATTAATATTACATAGGTTGAATCTAACAATGGAAAAGACAATTGTTTTTTGTCTTTTAAATCCATTTTTCTAATCATCAATTTTAACGAATTATTGATCCACAAAAGATTGGATGGCAAAAAAATAAAAATCTAGTTTCTTCTCAGATAGGTCACTTTAGAAGCACTGTCACAGAGAGCAAGGCATGGTTGAAGAAACAATGATCAGTCAGGTGGTGGTTGGAGCATGATGTTCATGACAAGGGAGGAACAGAAGATAAGGTACAATGCTAGAGTGAGTCCCTGTGTTTATAGGCCTTCAGTGTCAGCAAACAGATTTATGCTGTGCTCTATTGGTGAGGAAAATTCACAGAAAATGCTTAATTAGAGGATAAAATGAGAAAATCTGTAATTAAAATGATTTCCTTGTTGATTTCAGAGAGAAATCCACTGAAGACAAGAAAGCTTTCTTTTTTAATTTTTAATTTTATTGATAAATAATAATTGTGCATAGATATAGGGTTAGATGTGATATTTTGATACATGCGTACAATGTGTAATGATCAAATCCAGGTCATTAGAATATCAATTATCTCAAACACTTACGATTTCTTTGTGGTGGGAACATTTCAAATCTTCTCTAGAGGATGACACATTGATATGGTTTGGCTGTGTCCCCACCCAAATCTCACCTTGAATTGTAGTTCTCATAATCCCCACGTGCAGTGGGAGGAACCCAGTGGGAGGTAATTGAATTGTGGGGTGGTTTCCCCTATGCTGTTCTCGTGATAGTGAATAAGTTCTCATGAGATCTGATGGTTTTATAAGGGGCTTCCCCCTTCACTCAGCTCACGTTCTTCTCCTTCCTGCCATCATGTGAAGAAGGACATGTTTGCTTCCCTTTCCACCACTATTGTAAGTTTTCTGAGGCCTCCTTAGCTGTGAGTCAATTAAGCCTCTTTCCTTTATAAATTACTCAGTCTCAGGCAGTCCATTATAGCAGCATGAGAATAAATTAATACACACATCTTAGTCATTATCACTCTCTTTTAAGGTATTAATTTTTCAGTATTTGTATCTACCTCCAAACTTTCTTTTCCACCTCATTTTTTTACTAACTCCTTCCTATCCATTCCAGCCCTACCACCTCTTCCTATGACTCATTTCCTCAAACTTGGACACATGAAAGAGCATTGTAAATTATTACTTATGAGAATTTTTATGGCTTTTTGAATGACCATTGAGTCAGATATCTTTGAAATCTAATCTCAGCTCTGCCATTCATTGGCTGTGTGACCTTGGATATTTCATTCTTCTGAATCTTTTTTTATTCATCTATAAAGTTGTAAAATTTACATTGATGGGTTTTTGGAGAATTTGAAAATTTTAATGAGATAATAAAAACCATCATGATATGTGATTCTCCCTACTGTTTGTTCTTCCCAACCTACTTTCTTGGCACTTAACATCTATACAGCTTGTAAGTACTGAATCTATAATAAATGCATATCCATTTGTGAAGAATTCTGAAATTCCCCCATTTATTCTTCTTCCAAAAGCTTAAAACATTTACTGCAGCAGTTGCATACACACACACAAAACAAAGAGTGTAACATTTACCTCAAGGCACAATGAAATCCCTACAGATAAGAGTATTCTGTCTTTAATTTTTGTATCATGTAACATAGCACACACACACAAGCAGACATTACATGTAACATTTCAATTTTAAGAGGATGAGAAGAATGAAAAAAAGAGAAAAGAACACCACCAAATCCAGAAACTTTAAAATTATTTGTAGAACTTAGGTTTAAATATCTCTTTTGTAAACACTTTGGGAAGATAATCATTACTTTGCATTGAGAAGTATTCATTGTTAAAAGAGAAATAATAATTTTATGTGTGTGTGTTTGTGTGTGTGTGTGTGTATGTGTGTGTGTGTGTGTGTGTGTGTGTGTGTATGGGGTGTGTGTCTATAACAGAAAAGGAGAGAGATTTTTGAATGAAGTAACATCTCCAGACATTGTCAGGTGCCCTCTGGAGAAAAAAATTGCCTCTGGTTGAGATCTACTGTTCTGATTCTAGTGCTTCTCAAACTTTAGCAGCATCAAAAATCATCTGAAGGGCTTGATAAAGCACTGATCCCTAGAACCGCTCCCAGATTTTCTGATCCGGAAGTTCTGAAGTGGGTTGCAAGAATTTCTATTTCTGGCAAGTTTCTAGGTGATGCTGATGCTGCTGTTCCAAGGTCCCACTTTGAGAACACCTGCTCTAAGTAGCCACTTCACAGTCCATTTCCAGGTCCAGCTGGGAGCATGTGACATGTTCACCTTTCTGTCCTTGCAGGCATATAATTGGGGTTTTTCTTCTTGGCTACTGCCCTTAGATCACTCTGACCTCTGAGAGGTGAAGAAGGGGAGACCTATGTTTCCATCTTCACCCTTCTTCCTTCAGATAAGGATTTCATCTTTGCACTACCACTCTTATGCTAGTGACCCTCTTGTACAAGATTCAGGTTGTAGTTTCTCTCAGCTGACTCCTAAAATAAATTACCCTCTTGCTTGAAAAGATGTAAATTTTAGAATGCAATCTTATGACATCACATCCCTGCTTCAAAACCATCATTGCTGGAAACTGGCTAGACAGAGTCTAGACATGTAATTTTGATATATTAGTCCTGACTTGCCCTTCCTTAGGCTCCACCATTCTCTGTTGCAATTCTGTATCTGTCTTTGCATTGTTTTTTGATATGCAGCACTCTTTTTGAGCTGCAGGGAAATAAAAGACATGAGAACAGGAGTAAAAAATCCAAAGATTCTAATCCACTGTTGTCAATATATTAGGGATGTGACTCTGCATAAACATTTTATCCCCATTTGACAAATTAAAAAACTGAGTCATCTGAAGGTTCATGACACCAATCTTGTTATATGTTGTGTTAGGTAATTTTCTTTGCTAAAAGGATATTTGAGCCTTGTAATCTATAAAGACAAAAGGTTTATTTTAACTCACAATTCTTCAGGCTGTACAAAAAGCATGGTGCCAGCATCTGCTTCTGGTAAGGACCTCAGGAAGCTTCCAATCACAGTGGAAAGTGAAAGGAGATCAGGCAGTGTTACATGGTGAGAGAGAGAGAGAGAGAGAGAGAGAGAGAGAGAGAGAGCAAGGGAGGAGGAGGTGCCACACTATCTTAAACTACCAAATCTTATGTGAACTCAGAGCAAGAACTCACTCATTACTGGGAGAAGACACTCATGAGGAATCCACCTCTGTGATCCAAACACATCCCACCTCCAACAATGGGGATAACATTTCAGTATGAGATTTGGAAGGAACAAACATCCAAACCATATCTTATGGGAAATTGTAAATGAGCCTTCACACTCTATCTCATTTGATTCACATGAACTACATAAACAGATAGGGTGATTTTTGATTACACTTTATTCCCCTTTAAAATTTTCTTCTTTCTCTTGTCACAATGTACATAAGTATTAGGAGATGCATTTAAGAAAATTGCTGAGGAGTAAAATGTTACTTCTTTTATCAAAACTGTCACAAAATTTGCTTTCCTGATTGGACAGCTTAATTATTCTTTATTTGTATTGTTTGGACTTTATTTTAAATGGTTCATGGTTCTTATATAATCTATATATTCTCAGGGACTTTGTGGCTAAGGATAGGGAAAAGTATACTTCTCCACCCTGAGCTTACCAGTGAACCTAAAATCAGCTTTCTATTTCTCTCCAAAAGAGGACACAATAACCTGGAGTTCTACCTGCTTGAAACTCATTGCCTCTTTTGTAACATTACTTTCCTTCCTTCAGAGAATCAAGTGCTGAAAGAGTGCTGAGATGCAACGATGTTGAGATTTTGAAAAAAAAAATCACAGAAAATTTATGCATGAAGACATTCTTTCCCCAGTCTATAGGAAGGCAGAGTAAAAATTAATTCTCATCCAAGACAGCTTAGAAATCGAATAGTTAGAACTCAAGAGATAGATGAGAGAAACAAATGGATTGGACTTACTTATTTTCAACATCAAAGTATGATCAAAACTGATAGAATGTTTGGACAGGGAAACAATTTTGCACTCCATGGTCTCACTTTTCATTCCTGAGACAGTGTTCAGAATGCGTAATAAAATGCGAAGAACAAAAAAAATCAAGCTGATGAAGGCAACTAGCTCACTGTCTTTCTCTGCTGCCACAGTTAAATACCAGATGTAGGGTTCACTTGCAGACTCAATCACAGACTGCCTTCATCTACCATACTTCTCCTTCCCCAACACATGCAGTTATAAAACTTTACCATACTCTCTCTTTCCTTTATATGATTTATATCTCCAGGCTTTTAATCCTGCCGTGAACTTCAACTAAATTGCACTGGACTATCTGGATACTGACCTACAAGCTGTTGAGCTTCTTTATTTATGTAATCCCTGGCTGTAGACCACTTGGAATCTTGTTTTATTTTATCTGCAAAATTAAAAAAAAAGTCTTCGAATCTGCTCTTTGACTCAAGTTTTTAATTTACCTGGTAAAATAGAATATCTACCTGATATTCTAAGTCCTACAACCTACCTCATATTCTTTACTCAACACCAGCTAACTGGTTTTTGGAGTGATTCCCTACCTACATTTGATCTTCCTGAGTTGGCTCTAATGCCATTCATAGGTATGGTTACCTTAGACTTAGTATTCTCGAGCAAGAAATCACTCTATGGATAATTATGCATATTCCACACACCTTCAGGCATACAGACATGTTACACACACACATTCACACACAAAATCACATGCTTTTAAAAATTCTTGCTAATCATCAATGTATTTTCTCTCTATTCTGATAGCAGAATGGTATCGATGTTTAGGTTTGTTCAAATAAAAGCTCAGCACTCATCTTGTTGACTTATCTATTTGGGGGAATTTCGGAGGGGAAAGATTAATACATGATCTGAGCCATGAAAGCTCTCAATGAAAAATATAAAAACTGGCATTAAGCTTTGTTTAAATTAATAAACACAAAAGAGCTACAAAATTTCACTTTACTTTTTACTAGCATATTCTATTATGAGACCACTTGGAAGTTATAAATTTAGTGAGGACAAAGTTACCCAGAAATGTGGGACAGATAGGAAAGTCATTTTATAATTAATCAAACTAATGAGCTAGCAACATTTTTTAAAGAAAAATGTATTTGCTTACCTATTTTTCTACTTACATGCAGTTGGAAAATACGCTGTAAATATGAGCGCTTTGGGCCTGTAATCTCAGCACTTTGTGGGGCTGAGTTAGGTTGACACTTGAGCCCAGGAGTTTGAGACCAGCTTGGGCAACATGGTGAAACCCTGTCTCTACAAAAAAAAGAGAAAAAAAAATTAGCCAATCTTGGTGGTGCTTGCCTGTAGTCCCAGCTATTCAAGGGGTTGAGGTGGGAAGATCGCTTGTGCCTGGGAGGGTTGAGGCTGAAGTGTGTCATGATGGTGCCACTGCACTCCAGCCTGGGGGACAGAGTGAGACCCTGTCTCAGTAAATAAATAAATAAATAAATAAATAAATAAATAAATAAATAAATGTGAGTGTTTTGAAGTGATATTGCCATAAAAAGTGTTGCCAGATACCTCTCTGTTAATATAAATGGTTCCTATGCCTCTGATCAGAATTAAATAATTCCACATCAGATCACAGCTAGCCTGATCACTTTTATTTCCTTTAATTTTTCAAGTCTTCCTTTGAAATCTCCTTTATATTTTATTTATCCACCCCTTGGCTACAAAATAATCTCAAAAATATCTTCGGCTTTTGTCCACTTATTTACCAGTATCAGACAACTTACCATGTTTGGACATCCATTAAAGCTTTAAAAGAATATGCTATATATTCACCTTTCTCTTTTTTCTTAGAGATTTGGTGCACACATGGAGGGCAATATCTGGAAATGAATAACGCCAATTTGAAGTAAACTGATTTGTGTTGATGGTTTATAAAACTTACACTTTTTAAAAATAAAATACTTGTGTGGTTAACATCATTATAATGTATAAAAGTATAGGCTTAAGAATTAGAACAATGCCTATCTGAAACTTCATTTGAACCTTGAGGAATTATTTGGCCGAGATAACCATTAACATCACGGGGACAGCTTAAGTAAATTGAAGAAAAGCGGATAGAAAGGAAAGAGACAGACGTCTGGAGACTCAAAACCTGCAGGTAAAACGTATTTCTTTAATTTCGTGTTTCCTCTCTATGCTTTTCTCTGTTTCTCTGAGTTGTGATTTATTCTCTGCTCTTGTGGTAAATCTCTCCAGATGGTGAACAGGACATAGGAGCTGCAATTTAGAAATTTCAGAAATCTGGAAAATTGTCTCCTAGTATCTGTATACTGATCCCAGGAAAGAACACTCAGTATTATTCATGCTTAGGTAGATGTGCTCTCCTCTTGGGCCGATCGCTGTTGCCAGGAGTTGAGCATGTTATGATTACTCACGACTGTCACATGCCTGAATGTTGCCCGGAGAACAGGGTCTGACACTCAGAAGAGGGTATAAAACTTTCAAAGGAAGCCAAACTGGACTGGCTAACACAGATCACAACATCAACTTGTTATCCCTGGGAAAATTACCAAAGCATGAGTGCTTTAATATTCGTATGAGGGAAATGTTTATATATGTTTTGAAAAGAACATCACAAGTCAAGTATAGTGACATTTGGGGTTCACCAAATTCTAAAATATATCGTAATATAGTTTCCTTTATGTAATGTGTTTACAACCATAAGCAGATAACTACTAAAGCATATTGAAATGTGAAGTATGGATATTTAATGAGAATAACTTCTTAACTAATGCCTCCCTCTTGAATATCTATTCTCCAGTGTATTTCAGTTCATTGTGATTCACACCCACATGTTAACAAATTAATTACGATTATATTTTTGAAAATCACCAAACCTGTAAAGTTATTCTTACAAATTTTAATAGTCTAAGAGACTAACATCATAAAACATTAATGAGAGCTATGAGATTAAAATATTCTTAAATAGGTTAAGAAAAGGTCATCTATTTAATCCTCTATCAGAGGAAACAAATAGCATTCTATTGATTAATGTTAGTTACCAGATATTTATTTATATTTAATTATCAGGAATACTTAGTAATATTCAGAGGTTGAATTTTATTAGTCTTTCTACTTTTGAGGCTTTATAAGTAAATAAAATGGTTTCAATTTTCTCATACTCTTTAACGAGTTCTGAGTATTCTTAATATGAGGATGCAGATACAAGTTTGTTTAATTTAAAATAATCCTATGTTAAATGATAATGATGTCATTGGTATAATTTTTAAAATGCAATTTAATTGTCTAGCCAAACTGAACTTGTGTATACTTGTCGTCTTTGTGCATATTTAGGTGAACGAATTAAAGTTACTTAATAAATAATTCATATGTATTAATGCTATTAGCTCAGATTTTTAATATAAGGAGTTTTTTTAAAGTAAAATAATAAATGAAACTGTCAAGTAAATGACTTGAAATGAAAGAAAGAATGTGTGTGCATAACATCAACATGACTGGTTTATTTTTTCATATTATTGAATTATAGTAAAGTGTGTCACCTATACTATCCATTTTCCTAACCTACAAGTATAACGAAAACATGAAATCCAGAGAAAACTATTCAGAAGCACTATAAATATATTCAAAATGCTTCTCTCTATCCAAGTTTTGAAAAAAGTGATTTTAGGCTTTTAACACCATATCTAAAACAACACAAATTTAGTCCTTTTCCCTCGATTTTGCAATTCATAGAAATATGCTCTTTTTGCACAGTTCTGGGTTTCTTCAAGCTAGTGGGTCATCAGTCTAAACTGTTTCAAGTTAAGTATTAAAATGAAACAGGAAGCTGTGAGTATGATAAATATTTCTCTATATTTTAAAAACGCCATCATCTTTTAAAAAGAGGGCATCACTAATTTTTTGCCAGCTTTTAAATATTGCCATTAAAAACAATTTCATGAATTTCTGGAAAATTGTCTTCACTGATACATCACAAAAACTTAATGGACAAAACTTGGTAATGGCATCTAGAAAGTTGGGCAGGGGGAGGTGATAGTATGCTTCTGCATTCTACAAAATTCAGTATTTTATTTGTTTGTTTATTTATTTATTTATTTAGAGATGGAGTCTCATTCTGTCACCCAGGCTGGAGTGCAGTGGTGCAATCTCGGCTCACTGCAACTTCCACTTCCCAGGTTCAAGTGATTCTCCCGCCTTAGCCTGCCTAGTAGCTGGGATTACAGTCACCCGCCATCATGCCGGCTATTTTTTTTTTTTTTTTTTTTTTGTATTTTTGTAGAGACGGGGTTTCACCATGTTGGCCAGGGAGGTCATGGCTCCTCATCTCAGGTGATCCGCCCGCCTGGGCCTTCTAAAGAGCTGGGATTACAGACGTGAGTGATCCCTCTTATGATAGCATTATTAAAGCCAATTAAGTCAATAAGCAATATCCATTCTTGACAAAGCATTATCAATTTCAGGAACAATACTCCATTAGGATGATTTAGAAACTGGTTCAAAGGTTGCAACAGATTATTTCAAGGCTGCACAACTAGTATCTTGCTTTTAGGATTATGTTTTGTTTACTTACTGTTCTGTACTATTTAACTGAGAGGTTGTCAATTGAATCCAATTCAACATATATATTTGAGCACATCTTACATGCCTTATTGTATGCCAGGCCATGTACTATAATGTGTAAGAACTAAATATTGAGTGTAATAGACAAGGTCCTTGCCTTCTTCTACCTTTGGGCAAAGAGGGAAATTGAGAAGACATCTACTAAATAAGTAATTACAAATGTGCATTGAAATAGAAGATATATGGTGCTATAGAAACATGTAAAAATAATTTAATCTTTTTATTTTGATTTTTTAGAGATGAAGTCTTGCTCTGTCTCCCAAGCTGGAGTGCAGTGTCCCAGTCATAGCTCACTGAAGGCTCAAACTCTGGGCTCAAGTGATCCTCCTGCCTAAGCCTCCCAAGTAACTGGGACTACAGGCTTGTGCCACTGCATCCAGCTCAAAAAGGGATTTAATCTTATCTAGAGGTTATAGAAGGCCCCCTGAATAATTAAATGCCAATTTAAGGAATAATTGTTATAACGAGATGAATAGAGAAGCAAGTGTAATCCAGTTAGAAGAGTATCAATGGATTCCTTTTTTTTTTCCTTAAAGCATATTGTTTAATGAACTGAAAGAAGGCTCCTATAGTTTAAGAAGTAGGCAGATGCCTTAGTTTTTCTTCTGAAAAGAAGGATAGGGGCCAGGTCTGGGAAAGTAATGTACATTATATTAAGGACTTCATGCTTGTGACAATTGGAATCAAGTCAATAATTGTAAGTAGGGATACGACATATATCAAATTGCACTTTGTAAAAGATCTTTTAAAGCTCAAAGGAAACCCTTAATTCTTTAAGTACACCCTAAGCACAATGCCTGGCATCTATCAAGTGTTCAGTTAATTGGGTTGCCCATAAAGCCGGATTTAATATGAAACATCTCAAAAACATCTCGAACAAGTTTTTGTCAAAACTGGAAAGGTCAATATTTTGAAGGTGTCAAATATTTCAAAGAACATATGTGAAATCCTCAAGAAAATGTTATCTAATTAAAGACAGTTTAAATTTAGGTTCAAAGTTGCTTTTTATCTACAATTTTATTTTATACCTTGTACTTATTTCTAAACTATTGCTGTAGACCAGGGATAAACAAACTACAGACCATGGGAAAAAATCTGGTCAATTTTCTGTTTTAGCCCATGAGCTAAAAGTGGTTTTTATACATTTATCTATGAAAAAATCAGAGGAATATTATTTTGTAATATGTTAAAATTATATAAAACTCACATTTTTGTTTCTGTAAATAAGGCTTTATTGGTAGACAGCCATTACCATTTCTTTGCATGTGATCTATGGCTGCTTTCTTGCTATAACGTTATTGTTAAATAATTGCAACAAAATCTGTTTGGTCCCAAATATTGAAATATTTACTGTTTGACAACAGGAAAATATTTCTGACCTCTGTTGTAGGTGGTGTCATAATTAAGTCATTAAGAAAACACAGTTTGATTCTTTTAGCTGCATGTCCCCAGAATCATTTTTATTTTTATTATTTATTTCTCACCTTTCTATGAAGAGGCATTGTCTCCAGACTTTTTTCCTCTCTTTTAATGACCTTCAATGCAGATTTTTCACATTTAACAAAAATAGTGCATAATTCCAAGTGTCCTGTTTTGCTCTAATTTCTTCTGCAGAAGCTCCTTCAGGATTAGAATAAAACTGATCATCTTGAAGACTCCAGATAGTATAAGTGTTATTCTTCAAGAAGCATCATGAGCTAACAAAGGATATTGTTCCTCTTCTGTTTCTTGTGTCAACACAAGACCTTAAAATCTATAGGCCAGATCTTAGTATGGGAAAGTATGAATGCAATAGGCAGCACAGATTAAAGTGCACCTTGAGAGAAAGCTTTGAAAAGATCACTTGTTCTAATAAAAATACCTGATTTGCTGTGGTCACAAATGCTATAGCCCAAACCTGATGAATCTGCATACTGCAAGTACTAACACTTTACATTAAATACTTTCAAAAGATATCTAATGGAATCAAATGAAAATTAGACATACTATACCTTCTTCTTCACTAACATGTTTTCAGTGTGTTATTCAACCTTACATCTTCCATGGTAAGGTTATATTTAATAAGTCAAAGGTGTTAAACAGAAAGACAATTCTTCACACATTGGATATGCCATTCATTTCCTTACTAGAACACAATCCTAGCCATGCAGCCATGGAGTAGATATTAAACAATGGCTCTGAGTCCCATTGAAGTTTACTCAATGTTTATTTGGAATCCTGAAGTCAATTAAAGGAGTTTTTTCCTCAACTTCAACCTCTGTAGGGAAAAGAAACCTTGTCAAGTGGTTCCAGATAAGAACTCTGCAGGTAACCGTTCTGTGGTTCTTCTGGAGAGTGAGCCCCCACAGGATGCAGGGAAGAATGGATCAGCACCATGGACAGCAAACAACGCCCAGTCCCAAACCACAGCCCAGCTGCCCAGAACCCCTTTTTGAATTCTTCCCCTCTATAATCATTTTTTAAAGGAGAAAGAAGTTTATTTTGTTGACTTCACTGAAATATTGTTTTCTGAAAAATCACACTGTGTATGTTAACAATGTTTATACCTCATATGACAGAATACAGATTCTGAATTTTGACAGAGAATAAATAAGGTCAGTGGTTTGTTGATACCTTATGCTAGAGATACCAACACATGCATACAAAGCGTGAGAATATGCAGCAGAAAATAATTTGTCTTTTCAGTGAGCAGCTGTAGCTATGTGGGCTCAGTGATGCTACGCCATTTTCTTTCCTGATTTTTTTTCTTTTTACTATGAAAGCAAATCACCCTGCTTATAAGGGGGAGGTAAAGTGTTTAAAATTCATTCGATGTACATATGCTTATGACTTATTTTATTTCTTTGTCAAACAAAAGTAAATTTCTGAAATATAATGGTGATTTTGACAACACCCAGCATTATCTAAAACTAAATATTAAAAGGTGTCAATGTAATATTATTATTGCTATTAATAATGCTATGTACTTTTAAATGTATTATGCATTCATTTGCCATATCTTGCTTTAGATAAGCCTCTTATGTCACCGTAAATTAGAAACCTAAAAGAATTTTTATTTTGTTTTTGATACTAGCGTCTCCTGTTCCTTTATACAAAACCCTTATTATTAAGTTAATGTGACTTGCACAATCTTAAGGTTTTTAATGCCCTATGGTCTGAACCATCATGGAAATTTCAATATTGATATTCCAGACCTCCCTATAAAGTGTGCATTGTGAACAAGATGAATATAAGGAAGAGGAAATAGCCTTAGGTTTTGCCAAATTTAATGAGGCTTCTACTATTAGAAACTCCCATCACCATATCTATAGTAGCCAAAGGCATTGTGGGAAAAAAGTCAGCTTATCACTGCCATCTTCACTTTTAATCAATGCATTTATCTCTGGAATATCTCCTACCTTCACTTAATGAAAGCTTTTGGAATATCTCTTATCTTCACTTAATGAAAGCTTTTGTAATATTTATCACAATACATTGGCACCAAGTATATCACTTGGCCCCTCCCTCCCATGTGTTTACTATGTACCTAATCAAATAAACACAATTTTGCATAAATATGTACAACAAAATAAAGGTGGGAAAAAGATAAAAAGAGTGCACACTATTGCAAGGATATTCTGCACAATAATATAGGGCATATATGATGTCACAAGATGAATCGTGGCATTGTTAAATCATGGACAATTGTAGAAGAAGGAAACTAACTAGATCAACTTTAATTTTAGGGTTTTATTGTATAAGTGAGGGGAGATTAACACTTTTTTATCCTTAAGAAATGTATCAGTATGTCTTAGTAAAACTATAAAATAAATGCACAACAGAATCTCTGTTATGGTGCATATTTTTATCCAAGGTGCACAATTTTTACCCAAGAACACTCTTTCCCAAAGGATTGGAGTACTAAAATATATATTTGTGCTTTTTGACTATATCCCATAAAATGTCTGAATGGAATATACCTCAAAGGTTTTTAAACCGAAATTATACAAGTTTCTTGAATCTCCACTGGGGAGTCACTACAGAAGGATTCCCTAGATATTGCCTCAAAAACCACCAGTGAATGAACACTCAGCATTCTCTGATGCAGACCCTTGGTTTTCAGTGGCTTCCAGGAAAAATAAAAGGCTGTCTTGAGGAGTACGTAGATGCCTTATTTTTTGTGACTTTGGAAAGCAGAAAGAGGCCCACAAGGTAGACGTTTCAAAGTAAATTTAAAACATTAGAGGTTCAAAAAGGAAGAAGTTTCTATTAGAGGAACCATTTTTACTCCATGCTGATTTGCCCATCAAACCCTGGTAAGGTTTCTACTACAATCAAGGCTTCTACGAACATTTGAGAACAAACTCCCAGCTCCCCTGCCGTCCCGCCTCCATTTTTTTCCTCTGAACTAAAATAGAATAAGTAGATATTGGAATTTCAACCATTTTCTCTAAAAGTGAATGCAGGCTTTTGTGCCTTCCAGCTTATATGCCCACCAGGCTAAAAATTTATTTAAGAGTTTTAGCTAGAAGTTAAATATATTTAATGAAAGACATTAATAATATTGACAAAAAATTAGTCTTCTTAGCAATTATACCATAAGAAGCCTAACCATCTGAAACCCCTTTAAAAAGCTCTTTTTTATTATTATTAAAGTTTTAGGGTACATGTGCACAACGTGAAGGTTTGTTACATATGTATACATGTGCCACGTTGGTGTGCTGCACCCATTAACTCGTCATTTACATTAGGTATATCTCCTAATGCTATCCCTCGCCCCTACCCCCACCCCACAACAGGCCTCAGTGTGTGATGTTCCCCTTCCTGTGTCTACGTGTTCTCCTTGTTCAATTCCCACCTATGAGTGTGAACATGTGGTGTTTGGTTTTTTGTCCTTGTGATAGTTTGCTGAGAATGATGGTTTCCAGCTTCGTCCATGTCCCTACAAAGGACATGAACTCATCATTTTTTATGGCTGCATAGTATTCCATGGTGTATATGTGCCACATTTTCTTAATCCAGTCTATCATTGTTGGACATTTGGGTTGGTTCCAAGTCTTTGCTATTGTGAATAATGCCACAATAAACATACGTGTGCATGTGTCTTTATAGCAGCATGATTTATAGTCCTTTGGGTATATACCCAGTAATGGCTGGGTCAAATGGTATTTCTAGTTCTAGATCCCTGAGGAGTCGCCACACTGACTTCCACAATGGTTGAACTAGTTTACAGTCCCACCAACAGTGTAAAAGTGTTCCTATTTCTCCACATCCTCTCCAGCACCTGTTGTTTCCTGACTTTTTAATGATTGCCATTCTAACTGGTGTGAGATGGTATCTCATTGTGGTTTTGATTTGCATTTCTCTGATGGCCAGTGATGATGAGCATTTTTTCATGTGTCTTTTGGCTGCATAAATGTCTTCTTTTGAGAAGTGACTGTTCATATCCTTCACCCACTTGTTGATGGGGTTGTTTGTTTTTTTCTTGTAAATTTGTTTGAGTTCATTGTAGATTCTGGATATTAGCCCTTTGTCAGATATCAGGGGAAATTCAGCCAGATATCAGGCAAAATTCACCCCCGATATTTCATGTAGGTTCTTTTCTATGTTCCCTAAGTGTCGGCCAGTCTGAGAAATAAAGGGACAGAGTACAAAAGAGAGAAATTTTAAAGCTCGGTGTCCGGGAGTGACATCACATGTCGGCAGGTTTCGTCATGCCCCCCGAGCCTTAAAACCAGCAAGAATTTATTAGTGATTTCAAAAGTGGAGGGAGTGTATGAATAGGGTGTGGGTCACAGAGATCACGTGCTTCACAAGGTAATAGAATATCACAAGGCAAATGGAGGCAGGGCGAGATCACAGGACCACAGGACCAGTGGGAAATTAAAATTGCTAATGAAGTTTTAGGCATGCATTGTCATTGATAACATCTTGTCAGGAGACAGGGTTTGGGAGCAGACAACCAGTCTGACCAAAATTTATTAGGTGGGAATTTCCTCATCCTAATAAGCCTGGGAGCGCTACGGGAGACTGGGGCTTATTTCATCCCTACAGCTTCTACCATAAAAGATGGCTGCCCCCCGAAGTGGCCATTTTAGAGGCCTACCCTCAGGGATGCACTCTCTTTCTCAGGGATGTTCCTTGCTGAGAAAAAGAATTCAGTGATATTTCTCACATTTGCTTTTGAAAGAAGAGAAATATGGCTCTGTTCAGCCCGGCTCACTGGCGGTCAGAGTTTAAGGTTATCTCTTTTGTTCCCTGAATATTGCTGTTATCCTGTTCTTTTTTCAAGCTTCCCAGATTTTATATTGTTTAAACATACATGCTCTACAAACAATTTGTGCAGTTAACGCAATCATCACAAGATTCTGAGGTGACATACATCCTCCTCAGCTTACGAAGATGATGGGATTAAGAGATTAAAGTACAGACAGGCATAGGAAATCACAAGGGTATTGATTGAGGAACTGATAAGTGTCCATGAAATCTTCAGAATTTATGTTCAGAGATTGCAGTAAAGACAGGCATAAGAAATTATAAAAGTATTAATTTGGGGAACTAATAAATGTCCATGAAATCTTCACAATTTATGTTCTTCTGCCATGGCTTCAGCTGGTCCCTCCATTCGGGGTTCCTGACTTCCTGCAAGAGTCAGATGAGTAGATTGCAAAAATTTTCTCCCATGCTATAGGTTGCCTGTTCACTCTGATGGTAGTTTCTTTTGCTGTGCAGAAGTTCTTTAATCTAATTAGATCCCATTTGTCAATTTTGGCTTTTGTTCCCATTGCTTTTGGTGTTTTAGACATGAAGTCCTTGCCTGTGCCTATGTCCTGAATAGTATTGCCTAGGTTTTCTTCTAGGGTTTTTATGGTTTTAGGTATAACATTTAAGTCTTTAATCCATCTTGAATTAATTTTTGTATAAGGTGTAAGGAAGGGATCCAGTTTCAGCTTTCTACATATGGCTAGCCAGTTTTCCCAGCACCATTTATTAAATAGGGAATCCTTTCCCCATTACTTGTTTTTCTCAGGTTTGTCAAAGATCAGATAGTTGTAGATATGTGGCATTATTTCTGAGGGCTCTGTTCTGTTCCATTGGTCTATATCTCTGTTTTGGTACCAGTATCATGCTGTTTTGTTTACTGTAGCCTTGAAGTATAGTTTGAAGTCAGGTTAGCATGATGTCTCCAGCTTTGTTCTTTTGGCTTAGGATTAACTTGGCAATGCGGGCTCTTTTTTGGTTTCATATGAACTTTAAAGTAGTTTTTTCCAATTCTGTGAAGAAAGCCATTGGTAGCTTGATGGGGATGGCGCTGAATCTATAAATTACTTTGGGCAGTATGGCCATTTTCACAATATCAATTCTTCCTACCCATGAGCATGGAATGTTCTTCCATTTGTTTGTATCCTCTTTTATTTCATTGAGCAGTGGTTTGTAGGTCTCCTTGAAGAGGTCCTTCACATCCCTTGTAAGTTGGATTCCAAGTATTTTATTCCCTTTGAAGTAATTGTGAATGGGAGTTCACTCATGATTTGGCTCTCTGTTTGTCTGCTATTGGTGTATAAGAATGCTTGTGATTTTTGCACATTGATTTTGTATCCTGAGACTTTGCTGAAGTTGCTTATCAGCTTAAGGAGATTTTGGGCTGAGATGATGGGGTTTTCTAAATATACAATCATGTCATCTGCAAACAGGGAAAATTTGACTTCCTCTTTTCCTGATGGAATACCCTTTATTTCCTTTTCCTGCCTGATTGCCCTGGCCAGAACTTCCAACACTATGTTGAATAGGAGTGGTGAGAGTGGGCATCCCTCTCTTGTGCCAGTTTTCAAAGGGAATGCTTCCAGTTTTTGCGCATTCAGTATGATATTGGCTGTGGGTTTGTCATAGATAGCTCTTATTATTTTGATGTATGTCCCATCAATACGTAATTTGTTGAGGGTTTTTAGCATGAAGGGTTGTTGAATTTTGTCAAAGGCCTTTTCTGCATCTATTGAGAAAATCCATGTGGTTTTTGTCATTGGTTCTGTTTATATGCTGGATTACGTTTATTGATTTGCATATGTTGAACCAGCCTTGTATCCCAGGGATGAAGCCAACTTGATCATGGTGCATAAGGTTTTCGATGTGCTGCTGGATTCAGTTTGCCAGTATTTTACTGAGGATTTTTGCATTGATGTTCGTCAGGGATATTCTCTTTTTTTGTTGCGTCTCTGCCAGGTTTTGGTATCAGGATGATGCTGGCCTCATAAAATGAGTTAGGGAGGATTCCCTCTTTTTCTGTTTATTGGAATAGTTTCAGAAGGAATGGTACCAGCTCCTCCTTGTACCTCTGGTAGAATTTGGCTGTGAATCCATCTGGTCCTGGACTTTTTTTGGTTGGTAAGCTATTAATTATTGCCTCAATTTCAGAGCCTGTTATTAGTCTATTCAGAGATTCAACTTCTTCCTAGTTTAGTCTTGGGAGGGTGTATGTGTCAAGGAATTTATCCATTTCTTCTAGATTTTCTAGTTTATTTGCATAGAGGTGTTTATAGTATTCTCTGATGGTAGTTTGTATTTCTGTGGGATTGGTGGTGATATCCCCTTTATCATTTTTTATTGCGTCTATTTGATTCTTCTCTCTTTTCTTCTTTATTAGTCTTGCTAGCAGTCTATCAATTTTGTTGATCTTCTCAAAAAACTTGCTCCTGGATTTATCGATTTTTTGAAGGGTTTTTTGTGTCTCTATTTCCTTCAGTTCTGCTCTGATCTTAGTTATTTCTTGCCTTCTGCTAGCTTTTGAATGTGTTTGCTCTTGCTTCTTTAGTTCTTTTAATTTTGATGTTAAGGTGTCAATTTCAGATCTTTCCTTCTTTCTTTTGTGGGCATTTAGTGCCATAAATTTCCTCTACACACTGCTTTGAATGTGTCCCAGAGATTCTGGTATGTTGTGTCTTTGTTCTCGTTGGTTTCAAAGAACATCTTTATTTCTGCCTTCATTTCATTATGAAGGCAGTAGTCATTCAGGAGCATGTTGTTCAGTTTCCATGTAGTTGAGCGGTTTTGAGTGAGTTTCTTAATCCTAGTTTGATTGCACTGTGGTCTGAGAGACAGTTTGTTATAATTTCTGTTCTTTTGCATTTGCTGAGGAGTGCTTTACTTCCAACTATGTGGTCAATTTTGGAATAGGTGTGGTGTGGTGCTGGGAAGAATGTATATTCTGTTGATTTGGGGTGGAGAGTTCTGTAGATGTCTATTAGGTCCACTTGTTGCAGAGCTGAGTTCAATTCCTGGATATCCTTTTTAACTTTCTGTCTCATTGATCTGTCTAATGTTGACAGTGGGGTGTTAAAGTCTCCCATTATTATTGCGTGTGGGAGTCTAAGTCTCTTTGTAGGTCTCTAAGCACTTGCTTTATGAATCTGGGTACTCCTGTATTGGGTGCATATATATTTAGGATAGTTAGCTCTTCTTGTTGAATTGATCCCTTTACCATTATGTAATGGCCTTCTTTGTCTCTTTTGATCTTTGTTGGTTTAAGGTCTGTTTTATCAAAGACTAGGATTGCAACCCCTGCCTTTCTTTGTTTTCCATTTGCTTGGTAGATCTTCCTCCATCCCTTTATTTTGAGCCTATGTGTGTCTCTGCACGTGAGATGGGTTTCCTGAATACAGCATACTGATGGGTCTTGACTCTTTATCCAATTTGCCAGTCTGTGTCTTTTAATTGCAGCATTTAGCCCATTTACATTTAAGGTTAATATTGTTTTGTGTGAATTTGATCCTGTCATTATGATGTTAGCTGGTTATTTTGCTCGTTAGTTGATGCAGTTTCTTCCTAGCCTCGATGGTCTTTACAATTTGGCATGTTTTTGCAGTGGCTGGTACGATTTTTCCTTTCCATGTTCAGTGCTTCCTTCAGGAGCTCTTTTAAGGCAGGCCTGGTGGTGACTATATCTCTCAGCATTTGCTTGTCTGTGAAGGATTTTATTTCTCCTTCACTTATGAAGCTTAGTTTGGCTGGATATGAAATTCTGGGTTGAAAATTCTTTTCTTTAAGATTGTTGAATATTGGTCCCCACTCTCTTCTGGCTTGTAGAGTTTCTGCCGAGAGATCAGCTGTTAGTCTGATGGGCTTCCCTTTGTGGGTAACCCGATCTTTCTCTCTGGCTGCCCTTAACATTTTTTCCTTCATTTCAACTTTGGTGAATCTGACAATTATGTGTCTTGGAGTTGCTCTTCTCGAGGAGTATCTTTGTGGTGTTCTCTGTATTTCCTGAATCTGAATGTTGGCCTGCCTTGCTAGATTGGGGAAGTTCTCCTGGATAATATCCTGCAGAGTGCTTTCCAACTTGGTTCCATTCTCCCTGTCACTTTCAGGTACACCAGTCAGATGTAGATTTGGTCTTTTCACATAGTCCCATATTTCTTGGAGGCTTTGTTTGTTTCTTTTTATTCTTTTTTCTCTAAACTTCTCTTCTTGCTTCATTTCATTCATTTGATCTTCCATCACTGATACCCTTCTTGCAGTTGATCAAATCGTCTACTGAGTCCTGTGCATTTGTCACGTAGTTATCCTGCCATGGTTTTCAGCTCCATCAGGTCCTTTAAGGACTTCTCTGCATTGGTTATTCTAGTTAGCCATTCGCCTAATCTTTTTTCAAGGTTTTTAACTTCTTTGCCATGGTTTCAAACTTCCTCCTTTAGCTCAGAGTAGTTTGATTGTCTGAAGCCTTCTTCTCTCAACTTGTCAGTCATTCTCCATTCAGCTTTGTTCCGTTGCTGGTGAGGAGCTGCATTCCTTAGGAGGAGGAGAGGCACTCTGCCTTTTAGAATTTTCAGTTTTTCTGCTGTGTTTTTTCCCCATCTTTGTGGTTTTATCTACCTTTGGTCTTTGATGATGGTGATGTACAGATGGGGTTTTTGGTGTGGATGTCCTTTCTGTTTGTTAGCTTTCCTTCTAACAGACAGGACCCTCAGCTGCAGGTCTGTTGGAGTTTGCTGGAGGTCCACTCCAGACCCTGTTTGCCCGGGTATCAGCAGGAGAGGCTGCAGAACAGTGGATATTGGTGAACAGTAAATGTTGCTGCCTGATCATTCCTCTGGAAGTTTTGTCTCAGCGGAGTACCCAGCCATGTGAGGTGTCAGTCTGCCCCTACTGGGGGGTGCCTCCCAGTTAGGCTACTTGGGGGTCAGGGACCCACTTGAGTAGGCAGGCTGTCTGTTCTCAGATCTCCAGCTGCGTGCTGGGAGAATGACTACTCTCTTCAAAGCTGTCAGACAGGGACATTTAAGTCTGCAGAAGTTTCTGCTGCCTTTTGTTTGGCTATGCCCTGCCCCCAGAGGTGGAGTCTACAGAGGCAGGCATGCCTCCTTGAGCTGTGGTGGGCTCCACCCAGTTCAAGCTTCCTGGCCGCTTTGCTTACCTACTCAAGCCTCGGCAATGGCGGGCGCCCCTCCCCCCGCTTCGCTTCCACCTTGCAGTTTGATCTCGGACTGCTGTGCTAGCAATGAGCAAGGCTTTGTGGGTGTAGGGCCCTCTGAGCCAGGCGCGGGATACTATCTCCTGGTGTGCCGTTTGCTAAGACCATTGGAAAAGTGCAGTATTAGGGTGGGAGTGACCCAATTTTCCAGGTGCTGTCTGTCACCCCTTTTCTTGGCTAGGAAAGGGAATTCCCTGACCCCTTGCTACTTCAGCTCATGCTCGGTGCTCTGCACCCACTGTCCTGCACCCACTGTCTGACAATCCCCAGTGAGATGAACCCGGTACCTCAGTTAGAAAAGCAGAAATCATTCATCTGCGTCGCTCACGCTGGGAGCTGTAGACTGGAGCTGTTCCTATTTGGCCACCTTGGCTCCACCAAAAGTCTAATTCTTAAAACCCCTACTTGCTTCAAATCCACTTTGAAAATGAAATAAACAAAGATTAAGTAAACATGTCAACTTTTAAAATCCTATAGTTTTTCCATTTTTTCATGAACACAAATTTAATTATCTATCTCCAAGCATAAACTTATAATATTATTAAATTATTTGGCTAATATCATTTATATAGAAAGGAACATTACAAGAAACTGTGGGTTTTAGATTTAGATTTGTATTATTTTTCTGGCTTTGATTTTTAATTGCTGAGTAGCTTACAGATTCTGGGTAGCCTACTTAACCTCCCAAAGCCTTTACTTCTTCACCTGTAAAACAAATGAGATATAATTTACTTTACAGGATAGTTATGATGATTGAGAATGTAAATACTAATCATTTGGTAAAAATAGATGCTCACTTTATGTTCCTCCCCTTTAATGACACATTTCTCTTCCCCCATATCTCATGCAACAACATACATCAAGATTCTACATAGTCATAAAGCTTTTTGTAAGATGCAAATTGAAATACTACATCAGTCCTGAGAACACTCACAGAAGAAAATGTGTATCAAAATTTAGAAGTTGGCTTCATAAATCTACAATTTTATCCTTCTTTAAAAAATATGGTATAACATATATAAACTGGGTAACTCTCAAGTGTACATAATGTATGAATATATGTATCTATATACATAAATGCACAGACACAATAACTCGTTCACTGAAAAGCTAAAAGTTTTTTTAAAAAAATTTCTACTGTCCCAGTAAGCTCCATTTTACCTTCTATTACTAGGTACTCTCCTACCCTCCAAGTATAACTAGTATTTGGACTTGCATCATCACTAATTAATCTTGTCCATTCTTAAAAATCACACAAAAGGAATTGAAGGATATGTATCACTATGTGTCTGATTTTGTGCTTATCATAATATCTGTGAAAGCCATTTACATTGTATATATTAACATTTGCCTTCTTTCTCTTTCATTGATGAGTAGAGAAATTACTATTTTTATCCAAATACGTACTTGGATGTTTAGGGTAATAATTGAAAATATGGACAAATTTTCCATAGGCTAACCTTCCATATTTCCTCGTTGTACTCATGGAGGTCTATTTCTTTTTTATCTTATCTGCTATTTTACCACAGTCACCATAAGGCTTTATTTTCTTTTGCCTTTATCACCAGGAAACATTTCTCTCCCTGCATGTTTTAGCACCTCAAGGTCCATCAATCTCCAAATGAAAACATAGTTTTATTCCCTTGATTATCTATCTCAGTTCCTCTCCCACTCTGCTCTTTATTATTTATCACAACGACTTTATTGCCTGATATCATAGAGCAATTCTCAATTAAGTTTGAAGTACAGTGATCATACCAAACAAATCTGTTTTATTGTGGTGTATCATAAAATTATACTTATGCCAAGGCTGAGAAGAATATGGTGATTGATAACGGAGAGGGACAAAATCTACAAATTTAACCAAGTGGTATTACAGCACAATGTACAACAACGAGCCCTTTCTTAATACCCATGTCTTCAAATTCAACCTGAGAATCACAGAAGGGCCCTGGCTCTGGGTAACCCTTTTGTTTTTGTTTTTGTTTTTGAGATGGAGTCTCACTCTGTCACCAGGCTGGAGTGCAGTGGTGCAATCTCTGGTCACTGCAACCTCCGCCTCTCGGGTTCCAGCGATTCTCCTGTCTCAGCCTCCCGAGTAGCTGGAACTACAGATGCATGCCACCAAGCCTGGTTAATTTTTGTCTTTTTAGTAGAGACGGGGTTTCACCATGTTGGCTAGGATGGTCTTGATCTCTTGACTTTGTGATCATTACCCTAAGGAACCATGTTGAGGAGCTTCAGACTCAGAAAATGCCACTCACTGAGGAAGTTAGAATTAATTTATTTCCTTCCTGGAGGCACTGCTTAACGTTTCAACAAAAGAAATGTTTTCCAGTGAGTGAGGGTGAACCTGACAAAACAGACCATCTGAACTCTCTAGTAAACGTTTTTCTTAAATATTTTATCCTATCATCTGGACACATCTCTCAACTTAAAGAAGAATATCAGGTTAATGGATTTTAATAGCTGTCTTGCTCCACCAGTATGTGCAATGAGCAGGAGAAAGACTACATGCAAGGATGTAAGTGATTGATTTTATGTCACTAGGGAGCTGCACAAGCCTAAAGTCGTTATTTCCTTCTCTATTCACAGACATTATCCTACAGATAGTATCAGAAGTCAATTTGTAAAACTTCAAAAACATTTTCACTTAAAATGATTTATGGGAAAGGAAATATTTTTGTTTAGATTTTTCTTGAAGTATTTTTCTAGCCTATAAACATTTTATCAGATAAGCCTTCCGGGAAAAAAATAAACAACAACAACAGCAGCCTAGATAATTAAATAATGATAGCTACCATTTTGTGAACGATTATTTTATGTCTGGGACTATGATTCATATTTTGTAAACATTAATATATTCAATCCTCATTATGATCTTAATAGCTATTAATCCACATTTGCCTTAGAAGGAAAGGATTGGAAGTTTAGAAATATTAGGCACAGTATGCAAAATCACAAGTTCATGCAAAGATAGAATGTCAAAAATAGGACTCCACACGTTTTGTTCTGTTTCCAAAAGTTCTTCCCAATATCATGCATCTTAACTATAATTATTTCCGCTGCTTTTTTTAAGCAGGTCAGAGAGAGGGAGCAATGTTTTCCCACTAAAACATCCATAAGGATGAATTAAGATTCTATCCAATAAGGCATTGAAAATTAATGGTAGTTTTGTACCATTGATGCACAGAAATTATAATACTGTTAACATAGCAATGAATTTTTTAAAGAGTAATTTGTTACTGCTTCCTTAGGGCTAAAGCCTATTTAACTTGACTCATGTCTCATGCAAAATTAACCACAAATTATTGAGGTGACAAGATACATGTACACATAAACAAGAAGCAGTTTTAGAGAGATATGTTATAAAGGTGTCAGAAATTCTGGGGACTTTTAAAACATGCGGGAGTAAAAAGCTGAATAACAAAGGAAAAAGAGAAGAGAAAAGAAAAGGAGGGAAAAGGAAATGAAAGAAAAGGAAAGAAAAGAAGAAAAGAGAAGAGATGGAAATATTCGGGATGAAAATCTTCCTAGGCTCTGTCAGTAGGCTCTTCTCTTAGTTTTCACCACGCTTCTTTCTTTTTTGTTGTTTTATGTTTGTTTGATTTTTGGTCTGTGTTTGTTGGAGAATTGGCTGCATGTACTGTGAGCTTTCACACTTGGTTTGTCTAATTTACAATCTCTTCATTTTTTTCCTTTGAATTCTACCTTATATACACTACTGTTCTAGTTCTTTGCTCAGTTCTATCATTTCCAGTTTAAAGCTCTTCCCAGTTCTTATCTCAACCCTGATTTCCAGCCCCCAATATACCTTTGCCCTGAGACTCTGCCAATGGTTTATTCTATGTGCAGAGAAATTGTGATGCATTTATTGTTTACCTAGTCTAAATTTGCATGACGGTGTGTTTCTCTCAAATAATTAAGACCATGGACTGTAACTCTTTTTCTTGCAAATAAATATAATGAGGTTTTAGGAAAGGTAATAAATATGTTCTAAGTTGGTTCAGCAGCGGGTGTCATAGCTAAGACTTGACTCTAGGTCTCACTATGCCATAACTGGAAACAGAGGAAAGGCTCCTCTGGCTCCATCCAACGTGGATCTTCAGCTTCCTGCTCAACCTTCAAAACTAAGTTTAAAAAAGTCAGAAATAGATGATCTGTTTTGGGTTTGAAAGGATATGATTAGATTATTTTCATTAATAAAATGGGAGCCTCTAGTTTCACTGGCATTGTGAAAGAGGAAAACATAATGCAGAATGACATATTTGAGCACACCTCTACTATAGCTTTGACAACACTACATTGTCATATGATATGCATGTTTTCAATACTTGAAATACAATGAGATCCTTCAAGCCATGTTCTTTGGCATTATCTTCATATCTGCCATCCTTAGCACAGGCTACAACACAAAATGTTCGTTACATGTTGGTTCAATGGAAGACTAAATAAACAAATCAATGAGAGAAGGACTGAATTTCCTTTCAAAACTCCAGATCTAGGGTTATGGTCAAAGTAGAAGACAGTCACATTTCACATTTACTGAGATAATCACTCTCATCTTTCAAGAATCCACGAATACCATTCTTTCCCTGTTTGTTGCTAGTATTTAACCAGATTTCAAGACCTTCTGAAGACACTAAAAAAGTCCTCTTTCTTCTTTAACCTTTATATCACTCCAGTCCATTGTCCTCACTGAAGCCAGAGTTAATTTTCTAAAGCACACTCACATTGACTTCCTCACCTGCTTTCCATGGGTCATGGTACTCAGGATAAAGGTAAGGCTCTTAACAAGGCCTTCAAGGTCCTACACAATCTCTATTCTGCTTATCTCCAGTCTTACTTGTAAGTTTTATTACTTACAAGTAATAAATAATAATAGTTTGATTCTAGTCTAACATGAACTACTGACTATTCTTTGAATGATCAGTCTTGCCTTTGGCCTTTGCTCACGCTGTTCCCTTGGTCTGAAATGACCACCATGTCCCATCTCTGTCTGAGTTATTCCTATTCTCTCTTTAAATTGCGATAAATTTTTCTCCTACCCTGGAGGACTTCAAGGTTGTCTCTTTACTGTGCTTCTATGTAAAGTGGTGCCTATTACCCTCAGATAATTTATCTTCCATAATATAATAAACTAGTTATTTATTTGTTTATCCCTACACAGCCCCCACTTGTACCTTCAGAGCAGAAACAATTATACATTTTTTATCTTTATTCCCACTTTGTAACACTGAATCTAACACATAGTAGGTGGCCTTAGTCCATTTGGGCTGCTATAAAACAATGCCATTGCCCAAATAGCTTGTAAATAATAGAAATTAAGGTATCACAGCTCTGAAAGCTGAGAAGTCCATAAGAATGTAACCAACACATTCTGTGTCTGGTGAGGGCCTGTTTTCTGCTTTATAGATGATGCCTTCTTACTGCATTCTCATGTGGTGGAAGACGCTAGCTAGTTCTCTAAGGTCTCTTTTCTAAGAGCATTAATCTCATTCATGAAAACAGAGCTGTCATGACCTCATTACATCCCAAAGGTACCACCTTCTTAATTCCATGATGTTGGTGATTAGGTTTCAACATATGAATTTGGGGTGGGGGCACAAACATTGAGACTGCAGTATAGGCATTCAAAAATTTTTTCATAGGATATGGCATACGAAAAATACAACATCACAAAGCTACGAAGGTCAGAACAGCTCATCAGGAGTTCAGTCTCATTCTCTTGTCTCTCATTCTTGACTCCCTCCTGAGAAAGTAACTGAAAGCGCAGTTGGAAATTTGCTCTCTGCTTTGATTCTTGAATGTCCAGTTCACTGACTGTTTCCATTCCTTCCAGTACCCCTCCCGTGGGCCTCTTTTAAAATGCATGGTGTGTTCTCTCCTCTCCTCAGCTATACGTGGCCAGAAATCCTAAGAGTAAAGCAACAGATCACCTCCCATGTAGATCAGTGCAACACTTGTTTTGTGCCTTAGAGTTGCTTTTTTTCCCAGGATCTCTGCCCCACCTGAGAATGAGATTTGTGAGCAATGCCTCTGTATGCTTAATCTGTGTGTATGTATACACGGCAAGTATTAATAATAAGAATTTCTAACCTTCTAAACAGATTAAAAGAACTGTTTATTTAGAGCTTTTTGTTACTTAGATTGATGGCTGTGTGAAAGACATACTTGTGACTCATTGGTAAGAACAGCTACCATTTATTGAGTACCTATTGCGTATCAGTCCCTGGACTGAGAGCTTTCTCTGCAGTGACTTAAATTCTCAGTCAATCCCTATGAAGTAAGATGACATTATGTCAACACTGTAGGTAGGAATAATACAGCTATGAGAGGTCAAGAAACCTGCCTAATGTCCCACAACTAAGAGAGACAGAAATGGGGTTTGAGTACAGGTTGTCTGATGTCAGTTCCCTTGCTCTGATAACTATGTAATGCTCTCATATTGAAGAAAGTGCAAAAAAGGCTGTCAGATATGCTGTTTTGCTGTGCCTGCTTGACCTGTGTCCTTTTACACTGACAATCATTTGCTCAAAATCATTCAACTTATAGAAGTAACTGAGAAAGAATGTAAACAGGAATATATTGATAGTGAATGAAAAGCATCATTCTATTTTCTAGCACAAAGTGTTGGCTTGCTAGAAAAGAGTGGCTATATTTAAATGAGTTAGTTAACATTAAACTTTAAGGATAAATAACATTAAATAACTTAATGGTCTGAAAATCCTTTAGCAATTTTATATATATTTCACATGGAAGAAAGAAAATAAATCTCTTGCAGAATAGCAAACAAGACAAATAACCAAAGGGAATGTTTTCACCACCTGGCAGATATTTCTGCACCTTTCAAATAATGTAAAATGAGAAATAAGACTCACTATACTGGGGTAATTTTAAGGTACTTGACAGAGCTGATAGCCTGTAAGTCACTTGATACTGAGCTTCTATCCATGTGATATACTCGGCGCCTGCATTTCCACAATTAAAGTCTGCCCTTCTCTAAAATATGTTGGATAAATGTTCCACAGAAGTTTCTGTTTGCTTTCTTCTAATTTCAGAAATATCCCATAAAAAATACATCTCTCTTTCATACACTGCTATGCAAATTTTCATTGTTGGAGATAGAAAATTATAATACCATTTATGATTTTAATAGAACACATTAAACTAGATAAAAAAGGGAGTAGAAATCATTTTTCTATCAATTGGTAGTAAGACTTGACTCATTACTGTTTTTAATTTCTGCCTCAAAAAGAAAATTGGGGTAAAAGATGACCCTGAATTATGTTTGGTTAGGATCCCCACTGTCCAGCATGTTGTTTTACTTTATAAAGGCCAATTTAGCCACCCCGACTATCCCATACTCCTGCCTCTGATGGGTCTCCCAGAGGCACTGTCCTGCACAGATGGATGGTTGCAGGGAGCAGGAACAAAGGGGTGTGTAATGGTAACAAGTCACCATGAACAGGAGAGAATGAAAGGGGCCCTCCAGCAGGTTTAGGCCCAGTTGGAGGCTCCAGAGAAAGAGTCATCTTTGGAGCATTGCAGTTGCTGGTTCACTTTGAGGTGGTGGTGAACCAGAGCATCCAACTTGGAGAGAGGCTCCTCCTGGGTGTGTCCCACATCTCTGTGCCCTTTTGGACACATCTGGGTTCAGGCTGGAAATGCCTGACATCACCCTCAATTGCTCAGTGGCCTCCTTCCCTCCCTCCAACAACTGTCAGGGAATATAGGGAGCATGGGAAGGCATAGCAAGGAAGGGTTGGTGGAGCCATGAGGAGCTGCTTTCATTAAATGTAACCTTGAGCAACAACCTTGTTACTGTATTGCACAGCTCAATGCAGCAGTGCAGTGGCCATGTTTAATACCTCCATGGAGAAACTGCAGTGACAACTGTGCAAGGGAGATTATGCTATATTCAAATGTACACAAATGTTTGAGAAAGACTTTAGCCACATTAGCAAAGGGGTTATGACTCATGTGCACAGCCAAGTTGAAAATGTGACTGTGGGCATTTTCTCCCATTGTGTATAGCCCCAGCCTTGCACTACCTAATGTCACATTGCTAAGTGGACTAGCTGCAAACTGTGAAGAATATGCCAAACATGGCTATGACATCCAGGCTAGAGACAACAAGCTTAGTAACACCTTAGAGGTAACTGGTTGTTTTCATTGGAATTGGTAAAAATATTTGCCAATGATATTGAAAAGCAGTAACTCTTCCAGAAGCTTGCCACTTGGCTGCCATTTCACTTTTTGGTTGTGTGTAGAAGATCTTTTTGTTCATTGGAAAAGCCACATTTACCTCTTTTTACCTCTAGAGTATTCTAGCAGCACCCAATGCATCCCAGCTGCAGCCACAATGGGCATGCCTGTGTTTGACACAGCAGTCAGTCTTTGCAGAGTCTCTAGAAGATAGAGCCAGGAAACTTTGGGAGAGTAGGTAAAAGCTGCTTCTACAAAACCTTTTGATGTTCTCTTAGGTTCATTGGGAAGGTGACTCACATCTGGAAGGGTGTGGGGTCCATTCTGAGGCCTTGCCATGTTGGAGAGGCCCCTGGTGCTTCTTCCAATTGTTCTCCAAGGCTGAATTCCAGAGTTCTCTTGATGTCAGCTTCTCCTGTCATACCCTATATGCATCCTCACCCTCCAATCTATTTTGGAATACTTCCTACCCTAGCCCAGGCAATCTGATCTGTCATGGGCATTTCTAACTATTAGAAAGTTTTTTTCTTTGAGCCATAATCTTCCTCCCCGTGACTGCCATGCACAAATTTCTGTACACATTAATGGCAGTGCAACATGATTGTCTGCACATGCACAATTTTCTATTTGTTATCAAAATGTAAATTATGCATTCCCGATGACCAGCAGTCTCACTTATAGGAATTTATTCTGTGACAATACTAACACAACTGTATAAAATATAAGTCTATGAGAATGTTTACTGGTGAATTGGTTCTAGCAAAACCAGAACGGCCATTCTGGGAGGTACTCTAGAGGGTTTTCCTGCATCATATGGAAGATTGGACTTGATGATCTGAAAATTCTTCTAATCATAAGCTCTTGAGTTGTTCTGCTATATAAGAGAGGCGGTCATCTCTGGTCACATCTTTCTGGTCTCATCTTCTCTACTTCACTTGTTTTCCCTTCCCACCTGCCAAGGAGCTTGATAGAGAGGGAGGTCAATGCCAGGTCAGCATCAGGAGGCTTTACAGGGTCCCTGAGGTGTTTAGAACTGCCTCTTCTGATAATGCTGGGAAAGGAAGGAATCCAACATGAAGGCAGGCCAGAAAAAGACAGCATGGGCAGGAACAGCCTTCCTGATCCTGGAGAAGCAGAGCCAGCATGACCTTTCCAGGCACTTCTGACACATTTTTAGAGGGTCTTAACATGTTTGTAGCAAGTGTTGCAAGCATGCCCTTGTCCTCAGAGAGTACTTTCAGCATGTCAGCAGGAGCTTCCAGTCTCTCCCTAGGCAGCAGGATGCTTGCAGTGATTTCAAGAGCAGACACAAATGGCAAACCTGTTGCAGAAAAAGCTCGGAGTTCAGTAGTGAGGTTCCTTCCTTCTACCCTGCAGACTGAAGTTTACATGAAGAACAGGATGAGGCTGGGTGTGGTGACTCATGTCTGTAATTCTAGTACTTTGGGAGGCTGAGGCAGGAGGATTGCTTGAGCCTAGGTGTTCAAGACTGGCCTGGGCCATATAGCAAGAGACTCTGTTCCTATAAAAAACATTTAAGAAACTTAGACAGGTGTGAAGGCACATGCTTTTAGTCCCATCTACTCAGCAGGCCAAGGTGGAAAGGCCACTAGAGCCCAGGAGGTTGAGGCTACCATGAGCTGTGATTGCGAAGCCTGGGAAACAGAGTGAAACTCTGTCTCAGAAACAAAACAAAACAAAAGTGATAAAAAAAAAAAAAAAGAAGAAGAGTGAAGCCACAAGATGTTCCAATGTAATGCTGAAGCCCAGAGAAAATAAAAGAAAGGAAAAAGACAAAACTCCTGATAAAAGCCATTCTCATCACCATGGGACTGGGAAGGACAAGTAGACCCTAACTATGTCCTTCTTCTGGCCCTCAGCTTGCTATGGAGCCCTAGGGGTGAGGAAAAGGAGAAAGGCCTACGCAGCCCAATGAGCAGAGGACACAGCTCTTTCCCCTGTGGAGACACCAGCCTCAGTTCTACTACAAAGGAATTTAAAATGGG